>NC_000006.12:155373820-155525335 GCF_000001405.40 Homo sapiens | reverse complement strand
TATAATGTTTAACCAACTCTCTACTTGTGACTAGAAAACTAGACTTTTACACACCCACTGGCAGGCTGTGTGTGTGTATGAGAGAGAGACAGAAAGAGCTCTGAACTGGCTTACCCATTAAGTCAGGAATTAGGGATTCTCATTGGTTTGCCTTCAGATAGTTGAAAAATGATCTGACTAATATTAGCTCTAATCATTGCAACCAAGAAGTCTTAAACTCTACAAATGTATGTGGGTGAGTGATCCAGAATTGTTAAAAATAAATTTATTCTCTAAAAAATATATAAGGAGAGTAGAAAGGCTACTAAAGGATCAATGAATGAAGTAGACAAAAAGGAATTCAATGCCTTTGGAATCTAAAATGCACATATATCGCCTGAGAATCTTGTTAAAAACACAAGTGTTCATCCGCCAGGCCTGAATTGGTACTGGGATTCTATACTTCTCACACTGTTACCTGGGCTGGAGTGCAATGGCACGCTCTCGGCTCACTGCAACCTCCGCCTCCCGGGTTCAAGCAATTCTCCTGCCTCAGCCTCCCAAGTAGCTGGAATTACAGGTGCCCACCAACATGCCCAGCTATTTTTTTGTATTTTTTAGTAGAGACGGGGTTTCACTATCTTGGCCAGGCTGGTCTTGAACTCCTGACTTCGTGATCTGCCCGCTTCACCCTCCCAAAGTGCTAGGATTACAGGTGTGAGCCACTGCACCTGGCCAAGATTCTACACTTCTAACAGGTTCCAGGAGATGCTGATGCTGCTGGGCCAGAGACCACACTTTGAGTAATAGCATTTTAGAACATGAGGACGCAAAAGGCCTAGTTTCACAAGTTGAGAAAGAAGCCATCCACACAATTTAGGTTAAGGCCAAAAGTGATTTTAGAAAGTGCATGACTCATTGTTAGTTCATTGTCATGACCATGATTGCGCTGTAGGAAAGAATAATTATTTGATTAGTGCACTATAATTCAAGTTCCCTTCCTCTCACAAGTGTGAATCATTGATACTTAGTCTGGGGTTGCTGCCTTGAGTCTTCACTACTTGAGTTCAAGAGCTACAGGATGAGTATTTTCTCTTTTTTTCTCACTGCTTTTGTGGACACTGAGGGGATGAGTCTTTTCTTACACTATTTTCACATTTATAGGAAAAAGAAACCGATGAGTATGCAGAAACACTGTATAGTTAAAACTGAGTGCCCCGAATGATTGACATAAATAGGGAGAAGCTGTGACTCATCAGAACAACAAAAGCTTTGTTAGAAGTTTGTCTGTGGACAGGATTTGAACTCGAGGAAAAGCTACAGAGTGTGATGAAGCCCCATAGGAAGGCCTGGAGAAGCTCTGCCCCACTTGCAGCCCTGCAGCTTGGTGCTAACTTGCCTCACACATCGAGTGCCAAGACCCATGCTGGGCCATTGTGATCATCCATGTCTCTCCCCCGGGGAATGTTCAGCATCAGAGGCCATGCATTTGACGACAGGGAACAAAAGAAAGGAGACGATTATGTGAGAAAGCTCTGGTGAAAATACCAAATAAAACCACTGAAAAGAAGTTCTTTGGCTTGCTGAAAATTCAGTACTTGAGTAAAATTCATTTAATTTTGAGCCTTCCCTACAGAGTTCTCTTGGCATGCCCTGTTGTGCTGCAGCAGAAAACAAGGCAAAGTCAGAGTTATTTTCCTCACTGCAGACTGAATAGAAGTTGGAATAAACGTGAGTATATCCAGAAACAGCAAATTCACCCACCTACAGTAAGGAGAAGACTCATAGACCTTTGAATTTGGTGGCTTCAGGGGTTGAAGCTCTGCAATAACAAAATATGAATAATGTGTTTAAATAACAACACATAAATACTATGACCCAACATACAGTTCTAGACACATTTATTTTGGTCATGACATATCAAATAGAATACTAAATTGAAAAAAAATGACTTATTCTTTATTCAACAAGTGTTGAAATCAGTGTGGCTTGCCTGAATATTGCAGGATATTTCTATGGGCAGGGTAGACACTTTGTAATAGGTTGGGCTGGAGCCCTGTAAGTATTGGAATGAAATGGGTGGGAAAAATGAAGGACAAAGGAATGCAGTTATGGAAGAAAGTATAAAGAAACCAAGACAGAAGGCCAAGGATTTAACTTTAGGAAATTTTACACTTAGGGGCAGGTGGAGAGAGAAGAACCATGCAAGATCTAGAAAAGGAGTGGTTGGAAAAAACAGAGGAACCACTAGAATATATGGGCACAGAAGCCAAAACAAGAGAACCGCTCAAGGAAGAGAGGTGTCCAACAGCATTAAATGTTCAATAAAGCTGAAGAAGTATGAGCACTAATAAAGGTTGTCAGATTTCACAGTGGCTGGTCATTACCATGAGTATGAGCTTAATTAGATCCAATGAAAATGAGATTAGAAAGGTACTATGGTTTGGATCTGTGCCCCAACCCAATCATGTCTAATTGTAATCCCCAGTGTTAGAGGTAGGGCATGGTGGGAGGTGGTTCGATCATGGGGGTGGTTCCTTCATGAATGGTTCAGCACCATCCCCTTGGTGCTGTTCTAGTGGCAGAGTTCTCATGAGATCTTTTGGTTTAAAAGTGTGGGGCACCTCCCCTCCAACCCCTCCTCCCGCTCCACCCATGAGAAGGGCTTGCTTCCCCTTCACCTTCCACCATGATTTTAAGTTTCTGAGGCCTCCCCAGAAGCTGAGCAGATGTGCCATGCTTCCTCTACAGCCTGCAGAGCCGTGAGCCAATTAAACCTCTTTTCTTTGTGAATTACCCAGTCTCAGATGTTTCTTTATAGCAACGCAAGAATAGACGAATGCCAAAGGGTTAAACTTAAAGGATGATTTGTTGGCGAGGAAATAGAGAAGTTTGGCTTTGTATGAAAGAAGATTAAGCAGAAACAATAAAATTAGGGGTTTTGAGAGCAGAATAGAGAGAATAGGTTTATGTCAACATGACACGGAGGGGATCCATGCCAGGTGGCTTTGGTCTCCTCCTCACAGTAGATGGTGGCAGTGCCATTTCTGAGAGGAAAAAGTGGGATAGTGCTGTAGTGCTGAAACAGTTGGGAAATTATCAAGGGAGGAATACAAAGACTGCTGAGCAAAAACATAGGTAACCTTGGAGGTGGTATAATTTAGTACTGAAATCATCTTAAAAACATATTTTATTTTAAAATACTGTCAATTTCTTTATTACTTTAGTTTTAGCCCTCAAAGAATATCTTTAGAGAACAATGTTTATAGAAAACCCTTCCTAAACAAATTTATTATATTCATCTTTCTGTACATAGCTCTGCTCAGTCAGAATCAGAACAGTAAACATAGAAGAAGACATGGCAGGAAAGAGGCCTGAAGTTCTGCTCCAGCCAATGAGCCCATTCCTTGACTCAGTGAATATGCAACACTATAATTATCACTCTGAGTCATAACCCACTAGCTTCCCTACTCTACCCTTCAGAGGACAAAAAACACATAAAGATCCTACAATCCTCTTAGCATTACATAACCAACCAACAATAGATAAAAATTCCCAGATCTCTTGTTTTGAGGCCCAGTCCTTGTCTGTAACTCAAGCATATCTCTCTTTTTAGCTGGAACTCTCAACAGAGACCTGAGTTCACTCAACATTTGATCTATTTGGCAACTGGTCCACTTAATAGTTAAATCTACTAGGATTTACCAAAGGGATGTGTCATCATTTTTAAATGTTTAGTCTATTCCATAGTTGTGCTACACAAAATAACTCTCAAAAAATGGTTCTATTGATTATTTTATGAAGTATACTTATTCCAAATGGACTCTCTGATTGCCAATTCTACATTGTCTTAGTCCATTTTGGCTGCTATAACAAAATACCATAAATTAGGTGGCTTATAAATAACAGAAATTTATTTCTCACAGTTCTAGAGAACTAGAACTTCAAGGACAAAGTAGAATCAGTATCTGGTGAGGATCCTCTTTCTGGCTTACAAATGGTGCCTTCTTGCTGTGTCCTCCCCTGGTGGAAGGGGCAATGGGCTTTTCTGTAAGGGCACTAATCCCCTTCATGAGACTCCACTGCCATGACCTTATCACCTCTCAAAGACCCCATCCCCTAATACCAACACCTTTGGGGGTTAAGATTTCAACATATGAATTACAAAGAAGAGTGAACAGAAACTTTCAGATCAAAAGTATTCACTAGCTAATTCTTGGTTTTTCTTCATAGGTAAGTTACCGATGTGTTTATATTATCTTCATATAAAGATTTCCTCCTGCCCTGTAGTCACTAAGATGTGTGTGTGTGTGTGTGTGTGTGTGTGTGTGTGAGAATTTTAGCTATCGTTGGTACTGGGCCACCAACACTCTTTTGCTTAGAATCCTTTGTGATAGGGTGTGGATTCATGCAATGTTTGACCTATTTTAAAGTATAGTCTAAATGAAACCATTATTTCTTTTGTATAAAGCTAGTTGCTGATAATGGGATTAAGCCTACAACTTTGGACTCATTACTGCCACATTCAAACTGTCTTAGTAACTCCCAGGGGGCATTATTACTCTGAAATACATTTGGTTATAACTCAGAATACAATCTCATAATAATATATCAGTATTGTTGGAATGCGAAATGCTCTATCAGTATGTCATAAAGCAAGGATACAGGAGCAGGGATTACAAAACAGAGGGACATATAAGCATGCACCAAATGTGTGCAATGGTAAACAACTAGAATGTTGGCTGCTTCTCATGAAGCTGAGGGTCAAAAACTGGCGGAGTGGTCCAAGGTAGTTTATGCTGGTTGACCACTCAGAGCAAAGCAAGAAGGAGATACACAGGCAAGAAGGTAAGACAACAAGAGTTAGAGAAGCAGCAGGGAGAACCTCTTGCTGAGGTCAAGCTCCACCAGTGAAGCTCCTCCTAGGGAGAGGATCAGTTTTTGTTGCAAACCCAACACACTAGAAATTAATGGCATAAAACAACATCCACTCATTATCTATCATGAGTCTATGGATCCACTGGGCAGTTATCTCTCATGACCTGGGTCAGGCTCCGCTAATCTCAGTTAAGCTCTCCTTATGTGTCTGTCTGTGATCAGCTGGTGTGTCGGTCAGGAGCTGTCTGGTCTTGGATGGCCTCACAGTGGAAGACTCAGTTTTTCTCCAGGTTGCTGTCTTATCCTTCCAGCAAATTGGCCTGGGCAAGTTATCACAGTGAGGTAAAGAAAAGAGGCAGAAATATTCAAGAGTTTCTTCAAGACTTTGCTTGCATCTAATTTGCAATTGTCCCATCGACCAAAGCAAGTCATGTGGTTAAGCCCAGAGTCAGTGCGGGAAGGCACTACCAAAGAATGCTGGTGCAAACTGAAACCATTAACACAATCAATATTCCACAGGAAGGAGCTAATATCAGGGCACTGGTAGTTCAGAGCCAAATGATGAAGACAGGTAAATGCACATATATTCAGATAAAGGATAGTTTGGGACCTGATGCATGGAAAGAAAGTATTTAGCTCATAAATACTTGTTCACTTGCTCAAAAGTAATTAAAGAAATAAAGACCATTCAAATCCTGGCTGCACATTTCTACCTGCTAAGGTTTAAAAATGCAACGAGAGACATTTAGGCTAGATATAAAGAAAATCTTGCTGACAATGAGAGTTGTTAAACACTGGAATGGATTACTAAAGGAAACTGTAATTTTCTTTTCTTTCCAAGTACTTAAAATCAGACTGGCTACCTAGTTATCTGGTGTGTGTTCTTGGACAGAAGCAAAAAGATGAACTAATTGACCTTTCAGTTTCCCTCCAGACCTATTATTGTCATGCTGAACCTATTGACACAGTGAAGAAAGAGTTTAACAGCCTGCCTTTTATTCCTACCAGTTAACACACATTTATTACAGTCCCTCTCTGTGCTTGGCACTTTGCTTGGTGTTAGGGATGTAATCCCAACCTTTAAGGAGATCATAGTCTTTGGTCAAAAGGTGGAGCAAAAAATGCCCTGTCTACATTAGTGTTAACACGTAGGGGTGATAGAAGATACTATTTAAAACAGTCAATGTCTTCAAAGGACAAAGGATACTGTGAAAGGAAAATGTTCTTACCCTGGGTCTCTGCCTATCTTTTGTGCTGGCCAGAGAAGCAGAAGACTCTTTTGTTCAACTGAGCCCATTGATGGGTTTGAGACAGACCAAAGGGCTTAGGGCAGAGTTATAGGTTAGGGGCTGCAGAGAGCAGAGTTCTGTGCATAATCAAGTGTGAATTTCTGGCTCTCTAGAAAACCTTAGTGAGAATAGGGGAGAATTAGAGATGAAATTGGAAAGACAAGAATACAAGCATTATATGGGACAATTTAGCCAGTGAGAAATCCTTTGTTTTGTGGTGGCTAAAGGATATTTAAGAATTGAACAATCTAAATTTTTAAAATTCTAACAAAAGGGATTTCTATTCAAACAAGATGACTAGTGTAGACTAGGTCTCCTTGCTTCTCCCTGCTAAGTACAATGATAAACCCTGGATAGAAGGCAGGAGAAAATCAAAGGAGAAGTGGTAAGAGGAAGGCAAACTGATTTGGGACCTCAAGAGGACTGAAGAGTTATATTGTGAACAACACAACCTCAGGGTATCTTGCAACCCCTGCGTAACAGAAGGCAACCCAGGCCTAGCATTTCCCACTCCCAAAACACGACAGAAGGTGGCCCAGGTACCTAACAACATTGGAATCTAGTGGAAGTTCTGCACACAATATCCCAGGAGCCAGGCAGAACCACAGGGACGGAGCCGAAGCCCCAGGGCTAAGAGGTGCCAAGGTAAGTTCTCCCTTCCTTGTGGTTCTTCTCTCTTCCACCTAGAGACACTGTCTGGTGGGGGCATCAGGCACTGTCAAGGAGGCCTCCACCACAGCACCCAGCCGAGGAAGCTCTCTTTGTCTCCCTAGGCCAGAGGTGTCATTCCCTCACCTAGAGACAATGTGAGGCAATGTGAGGTGACAGTCCTGGTGGCCTTCCTTCAGCCACCTTAAGCAGTGCCAGCTGGGAGCTGTACTCCAGCAGCCTACCTTCAAGATGGCTGAAGGATGCTCTTCAGACAGAAATGCAATAAAAATGAAGGTTGTGTTTGTTTGTTTGTTTTTAGACGGAGTCCCACTTTGTCACCCAGGCTGGAGTTCAGTGGTGCAATCTTGGCTCACTGCAACCTCCGCCTCCCGGAGCGATTCTCCTGCCTCAACCTCCTGAGTAGCTGGGATTACAGGCATGCACCACCACACCCAGCTAATTTTTGTATTTTTAGTAGAGACGGGGTTTCACCATGTTGGCCAGGCTGGTCTCGAACTCCTGACCTCAAGTGATGCGCCAACGCCTCAGCTTCCCAAAATGCTGGGATTATAGGCATGAGCCACCGTGCCCAGCCAAATTAAGGTATTTCTGAGCATTAAGAAAGAAGAAAACACAGTGAGGAATGGAATACCATAGGCTGTCCTCATGAGCTTCCTAACATCCATGCTATGATTGAAACAAAAATTATAACCCCATCTAATAATTAAGGCAATGATATTTAAAAATGGGAAAGGTAGAGGGTAAATGGGCGTAAAGCTTCCACACTTAACTTGTAAGTGCAACACGTTGATGCTAGTAGTCTGTGATAAATCATAGATGTAAATTTTCATACCCAGAGCAACCACTAAGAAAACTATACAGAGTGATGCACTCAAAAGTCCCAGAGATGCTGCCGGAGGGCTTAGGTGGGTCTACAGATGCCAGTGAGACGCCAGCCCTAGCTGGTTCTTGACACCATTATAACAAAGAATTCAGGGAGGAGTCAGAATGAAATGAAAAGACAAGGAGCTTTGACTGCAAAGTGAAAGTACGCACTCAAGGGCGGGGCTGCAGGCGTACTCACGACAGAGTCATGCACGATGGAGTTTGGGTTACTAATGTTATAGGCTCTTCTAATTAGGGGTAGAATAATCTGGAGATTTTCTAGGAAAAAGGCAGAAATTTCTGAGAACTAAGGGCCCACCCATTTTTACGCTAAATATGGCCATGCTTGAATCTGTCATGGCAATGGTGGGTGTGTGATTTAGTATGGTAATGAGCATATAATTAGGACTTTGGTAGGGCATGGATCAAATCCAGTGCCTCGCTGGACCCAGCTGGTGTCAGCCAGCTTAGCCTCTGTCCTGTTTGTTAGGGTCTTCTCAGCCCAGGCTCGCCCTTGTCCTTATAGCTAATTTTTAACAGTTCCTTTCTTGCTGTTATGTGAAATTGTTCCTTGATATCTTTCCGTTTTTCCTGTGGCCACCCAGCGTTCCTATTTTATGGATATTTCTTTAATGAGGGGGTGCAGTAATCACTAGGTATTCTGGAAAAGGAGGGGATTTCAGGGACCCCTCCCCCACTTACCACCCACCTTCTCCCTCATTTGGGTTTACCTGGAACAGTCATGGACAAGTCACCTTGACCAGAGTTTTGGCCATTTTCTTTCCCTTGTTTTGGATTTTCTGTTATTGTGTGGTTTCTTTGCCTGATTCTTGTTTTAGTTGTTGTTTGGGGTTTTTCCATCCCCCTGAAACCACTCAGTGCTATTCCTATCTCAAAAATGCATCAAGGTAGAATTTTTTTTTAAATGTTCAATAACCCAGAGGAAGGAAAGAAAAAAGAAAGAATAAGAACAGAGGAAACAAACAGAAATCAAAAAAATAAAATGTCAGACTTAAGCACTAACATGTCAAAAATTAGTTTAAGGATGAATGGTTTAAATACAACAATTAAAAGGCAGAAATTGGCAAAGTAGATAAAATAAAAAGTGACCCAACTATATGCTGTTCACAATAAATATACCTAAAATTTAAAGACATAAGTAGGTTGAAAGTAAATGGATGGAAAAAAATAAATCATGAAATGTTATTTAAAACAAAAACAGGAGTGGATATATTAACGTCAGACAAGGTAGATTTAAGAGCAAGGAAAATTATATAGTCAAAGACATTACATTATGATAAAAGGACAAATGCATCAAGAAGACATAATGATCCCAAATATTAATACAGTAAACAACAAAACATCTAAATTCATGAAACAAAATTGATAGAACTGAAAAGAGAAATAGACAAATCCACAATTATAGTTGGGGCCATCAACACCTCCCTCTCAGCAGTTAATAGAACTACTAGACAGCAAATCAACAAGGCTGTAGAATACCTAAACAACACAATCTAATTGGCCTGTTTAGAGCACCTCACCCAAAAACACACATCTTTTTATGTGCCAATGGAATGTTCACTAAGACCACATCTTGAGCTACAAAACAAAAGTTCCACAAACATATAAAAATTATACAGAGTATATTCTCTAATCATCATAGAATCAAGCTAAAAATCAACACCAAAAATAAATTATGGAAAAATCTCTAAACATTGGGCACATGCCTGTAGTCCCAGCTACTCAGGAGGCTGAGGCAGGAGGATCATTTGAGCCTAGGAGTTCAGGGCCAGTACGAGCAACATAGTAAGACCCTGTCTCTTAAAAAAAAATTGTTTCGGTTAGGCACTATGACTCACGCCTGTAATCCCAGCACTTTGAGAGGCGAAGGCAGGTGGATTGCTTGAATTCAGATGTTCAAGATCAGCCTGGGCAACATGGCAAAACCCCCTCTCTACAAAAAATACAAAAAATTAGCCAGGTGTAGTGGTGCACACCTGTGGTCCCAGCTACTCTGGAGGCTGAGGTAGGAGGATCATTTGAGCCCAGGAGGTGAAGCTTACAGTGAACCAAGGTCATGCCACTGGCACTCCAACCTGGGCAACAAAGTGAGCCCCAGTCTCAATAAATAAGTAAATAAATAGAAAAAATTTTTTAATAAATTGTTTTAAATAAAAAATATTAAAACACTTGGAATTTAATAATACACTGTAAATAATTTATGGGTCAAAGAGGAAGTATCAAATAAAAATTTTAAAAACACATAAAACTAAATGAAAATGAAAATACAATATTTCAAAATATGTGGTATGCACCTAACAGAGTACTGAGAGGAAAATTTATAGCACTAAATACTTACGTGAGAAAAGAGGAAGATCTCAAGTCCGTAAGTTGCACCTCTAGAAACTAGGGGAAAAAAAGTGAAATAAACTCAAATCCAGCAGAAAGAAAGAAATCATAAAGATAAGGCAAAAAGTCAGTGAAATTGGAAAGAGGAAAACAATAAAACAAAAAGCTTGTTCTTAAAAAAATTAATAAATCTCTAGCAAAATTGACAAAAATAAGAAAAGAGAAGACAAAAATCTCCAATATTAAGAATGAAATAGGAGATAACAATACAGACACTATACTTATTAAAAAGATATTAGGAAAATACTGCAGAACAATATACTTCTGAAAAAGTATAAATCTGAAAGAGCCAATACTTCAAGATGGATCCCGAATGGCTAACTGGATATAAACTCAAAATAGACTTAAGCAGCCATTTGCTGATTGGAGGTCACACAAATACTCTGAGTTCCCTCCAAAATTCAACCTTTTTATTACTGGAACTTTCAGAGCTCACCTGAACCAACCAATCAGAACTTAGCTGCATTGACCAATCAGCACTAATCAAGTTTCAATCCTTCATTTGCATAAATCGACCTGATTGGGAACCTGGGTTGGGACTTTATAAATACATGAGCCTTTCCTTTGTTCTCTGGAATGCTCCTTTGTTTTATACTAAAGGCTGCTTCTCCCTCATTTGCAAACTGTTCACTGGAATAAAATCTCTTCCTTCCAAATTCCTTTTCAGAAAACTTCTGTTCACGTACTCATAAATTCAACAGCTTAGAAGACATGGGACTATTCCTCAAAAACCACAAACTACCAACTCAATCAAATAAAAGAGATAGCCATATTATAGTGCTATAAACCATTAGAGAAATGGAATTTGCAACTGAAAAGCATCCAGTAAAGAAATCCTCAGGCCCAGATTGGTTCACAGGAGAATTCTTACAAATATTAAAAGAATTAATACAAAGTTTATACAATCTCTTCCAGAAAATAAAAGAGTAGGGAACATTTCCCAATGAATATTGTTACTATGATACCGAAAACAAAGATAATACACACACAAAAAAAGAAATTTACAGACCAGTATCTCTTAAAACCTACATGCAAGAATTCTCAACAAAATAACAAATCAGACACTAAAGTGGATAAGAATTATAGGTTATACCTAATTAGAATTTATTTCAATTATGTGAGGCAGTTCAACATTTGATAATCAATCAACATAATCTACCACAGTAACAGATTAAAGAAGAAAATTTGTATGATCATATCAATCACGCATAAAAAGTATTTTTTTAAAGAGTCAAAAACTCATTTATGATTTTAAAAAAAAACTTTAAGTAATTTAGGGAAAATAAAAGGCAAACTAATTCAGAAATAGGCCCAAGAGACATGCTCAGATGCTTTTTGACAAAGGTGCAAAATCAATTCATGGAGGACAGCTAATGTTTTTAACAAATAGTGATGGAGCAATTGACCATCTATAAGAAAAGAAAGAAAGAAAGAACTTCAACCTAGAACTCACACTTCATATAAAATTTATTCTAAAATTAACCACAGACTTAAATGTAAACCATAGATTTACAAATCTTTTAGAATAAAACACAGGAGAAAATACATATCTACGCTATAAGGCTAGGCAAAATTTCTTTGACTCAAAAAAACAGAATATTCAACTATCTATAACCCAGTAATTGTACTCTTTGGCATTTACCCCAGAGAAATGAAGACATATTTACAAAAAATATGTACATAAATCTTTATAAAACTTTATTAATAAAATTTAAAAACTGTTAGCAGCTCAGATGTTTTTCAGCAGGGAATAGTTCAATAAACTTTGGTACACCCATACCATTGAATGCTAGGCAAAATTTCTTTGACTCAAAAAAACAGAATATTCAACTATCTATAACCCAGTAACTGGACTCTTTGGCATTTACCCCAGAGAAATGAAGACATATTGACAAAAAATATGTACATAAATCTTTATAAAACTTTATTAATAAAATTTTAAAAACTGTTAGCAGCTCAGATGTTTTTCAGTAGGGAATAGTTCAATAAACTTTGGTACACCCATACCATTGAATGCTACTCAATAATACCAAGGAACAAACTATTGATACATACAGCAGCTTGGATGAATCTCCAGGAAATTAGGCTGAGTGAAAAAAGCTGTTCCTCTATGGTTATATCATGTTTGAGTCTATTTACGTAACATTCTTGAAATGACAAAATTATAGAAATGGAACAACAAATTAGTGATTCTTGGAGAGTAGGAATAGAAGATAGGGTAGGAAGTCGTGTGGCTACAAAAGAGTTTGTCCTGGCATCCTGTGGTGATGACAGTGTTCTAAATCTTGACTTTGTCAATTTGATTATCCTGGTTGCAAGACTGTATTACAATTTCACAAGATGATGACACTGGAGGAAAACTGAGTAAAATTTGGGATCTCACAGGATTATTTCTTACAACTGAATGAATCTACAAATTATGTCAAAATTTCAAGTTTAATTTTAAAAAATCTAACAAGAAATGAACAGAGTCAAAAACACAGAAAATTTAAAATCTAAAAGGCATAAAATAAGACAAACACATTGCAAGCCACTCTGGTTTTGCACAGTAAGATACAATCATAAAATATTATTTTCCCTAACATTTAATAAATTCAATGTGATCCAAATGAAACTACAAATGAGATCTTGGGGATGATGGAACCAGACAAGCTGATTCTAAAAGAGACCAATTTAGCCATATGTGTTAAATTAAATATCCAAATACCTGTTAATCCAAAAAAATTCACTTATAAAAATTTATCCAGGGCTGGGTGCAGTGGTTCATCCCTGTAATCCCAGAACTTTCAGAGGACGTGGTGGAAGGATCACTTGAGCCCAGGAGAGAATGGCGTGAACCAGAGAGGCGGAGCTTGCAGTGAGCAGAGATGGTGCCACTGCACTCCAGCCTGGGCAGCAGAGCGAGACTCCGTCTCAAAAAAAAAAAAAAAAAAAAATAGCAACAAACTGGAAACATCTTGAATATCTGTAAAGAGCTGGCTGGTTAATAAATTATAGTATATCTGATTCTATTAATAGTTGGTGTTTGAAAACAAAAAGAAATAATAAATTACTGAAAGTCTCATACAATGAAATATTATTATGCAGCTACTCAAAGTATAAAACAGGTCTTTAGATACTGATATCAGATTACTCAAAAATATTTTTTCGTATAAAATGCAAAGTGGTACAAAATATTAAGTATAGTGTGATATTTTGTTTACAAAGAAGGATTGAGACATATATGTTTAAAAATATTATAGGAGAATACAAATTATTAACCGTAGTCACCTCAGAGCAGGCTAATTGGTGATCTCATGTAAGAATATTTTTTGCATACAAGAGTACCCTTCCATGCTGTTGAAAATTTTTAACACATGTACTAATTAGGTTTTTTAAAAAAAATTTATGCAAAACAAACTGAAGGAAAACCAACTTTGGTTCATAAATGGCAAGGATTTTCTAATGTACAATTTCATGTTGTTTACAATTGTTGAACAATGATGGGCCCTCTCACTAAGGAAACTTCATGCAATCAACCTGCATTAAGGTTGCTCTAGGGTGAAAAGAGTATCAAAAACACCAATCGCTGACCAAACCCTTTGTGTCAACACCAGGATTGAGATGTAGGGACAGCCTCAAGGTGAAGAATGAAGAATACTTCATCAGATGCACAAACAGAGCCAAAGGTGATCATGAAAATATAAGCTCCGGCCTCCCCATCCCAGAGAGTCACAGAACTCTGGATGAGGGCATTGGACTTCTACAAGGCCAATGCATGGTAGTACAAACTAATTTCACTTCAATCTCATACAGCAGCATTCCTTAGCTGACCACTAGGTTACAGCATCCTGACCTACATCTTGGCCTATGCCACTGTCATCCATAAGACAGGGTTGACCGACTAGACCCAAATTACAGAGTTTCAAAAACTTTCTATGATAATGCCCATTGACATGTTTTATTATTTTAATTACTTAATTTTATTTCTAAATTATGATTTTAAAAATCATGTTCCTTAGATACAAGATACTTAAAAGCACCTGGACCATTATCTGCAAACATATACAGCCATTTTCAAATTCAGAAAGGGACTTCCCCATGAGCTGAACCATTAATGACAAATTCTGTTCCCTCTCTCATGACAGTAGCAGTGGGGTGAGACAGATGACTCGGAGCTTTCATACATCAAGATTTTCCCCATTAGCTATTTATAGGGAGATCTTTTAAAAATGTATATGCTTAAAAGTTTAAAGTGTGCTACTCAGGATGTTACATTGACAAATGGATATGTTGTAGATTACTCAGTTCTTTCACTTCAGATTTAATTTTATTGCCAAAGGTAACAGAAAATGTATAGTGTTTCAAGTTCCTGGTTCAAACTTAAGTAAAAAGAGAAATTCTTTCTAGGTAAAAGATATTAGTGTTCAAAAATCCTTAAATAAAAAGGTTTTTTTTTTCCTTTTCCCCTGAAAAATACAACGGTATCAAAAAATATACTTGTTAAGGATGATTCAGACCTAGCAAAGGAGTGATATTTAGAGAAACAGAAAGAATATTTAAATGGGAGACATTATAAGAAAAACACCAAAAAAAAAAAAAAAACTGGTTGATATGGGGCCCATTCATTATCCTTGTTTCCTGGTCTCTTTTTCAAGTGGTCAAAAATAGTGGAAAAAAAAGATGCCACTTTTAGAAGGGGCAAAATAGTGAAGAAACTATAATAGTGGGCGCCATACTGGATCCTATCTACCCCATTATTAAGTGAAATTCATCTGATTTCTGCAGCTAGTTAAGGTGTGTAAATCAGTACACTGAGATAGAGTGGGGTTCTCTATATAATCAACTGACTCAGTTGTTAAATCATCCTGGTCGAAGGACTTGCAGCCTATACATGGCTAATAGTAAGAAAAAACATACTAGGTCTTGCAGTTGCATGAACCAGCAGCCTTGGGATCCACTCCATTTTCTGGAAGCCAAGAGCACAATGTACCACTGGGCCCTCAACCAGAAAAGCCAAAACGTCTGGCCAATGCAGCAATTTATTTTGAGTGACAGCCATCTTCTTGTTCCATGTTTACATTCCTGTACCAAAATAGATGCAGGAGACAACTGAGAATAATCCTTCAACTTTTGTGGGTCATATTGTTTAATTACTCCAAGAACAAAATGCCCTATGTGACTTACATTTGGCATGGAAATACTTTACCTAATAAGACTGGCTGTTCACCATACAGTCTTGTTTTGAAACTATGGTACTATAGTATGGAGATTTTGTTTTGTAAAAAACAAGTAGTTGTCTGAGAGTAATAGAGGAAGGTGCCAATGTCAGCTAACACTGAGTGACCTTGGGCAAGTCACCTTGTATGTCTTCATTTCCTCATCTATACAATGAAGGCCATGGACTAGAATTATTTCTAAGCTCTATACAATAGAAAATATGCATTTTAAGTAGAAGTCAAACATTTTAAAATATATTTTTTGAAAAGAGTAGTACATTGACTAAAGATTGTTGCCTTTGGAAATGTATTTTTTACATTAAATACTTCGCAAAAATAATTTTTGTAAAAAAAAAGAGAGACATCAGCCGGGCACGGTGGCTCACACCTATAAATCCCAGCACTTTGGGAGACTGAGGCAGGCAGATCACCTGAGATCGGGAGTTCGAGACCAGCCTGACCAATGTGGAGAAACCCCATCTCTACTAAAAATACAAAATTAGCTGGGTGTAGTGACACACTCCTGTAATCCCAGCTACTCAGGAGGCTGAGGCAGGAGAATCGCTTGAACCCGGGAGGCGGAGGGTGCAGTGAGCCGAGATTGCGCCATTGGACTCTAGCCTGGTCAACAAGAGTGAAACTCCATCTAAAAAAAAAAAAAAAGAGATATCTATAATTTTTTCTAAAGGATTTTGCATTATTAAAATTAGGGAAGATAGCAAGACTTTAAGTGTCTCTGAATAATGACTATCTTTAAGAATTTTTAAAAATTATCCAGTCTTCAAACAAGGTGACAATAATTTATTTCAGAAATATCTTCAGATGTTGTATCAGAAGACATAACACCGTGAAAAGTCTTTTGTCAACTATAAGGCAATACAAAGTGTAAATATCACCATGATTATTTCTTGTGTTAGAAAAGTTCACATATGCTGTCATTGAGTTCTTAGGTTGATGTATGTCTCTTCACTTTAAGTGACAATAAAATCTAGGTGCTAAATTCAAACACATTTCGAAGATGAACAATTCATATGGATATTCTTCCTCTTTACTTTTAGAAAATTTGGTAGATCTAGATATTATCTAAGATTATTCAATGGTGTTATTCAAACACAATACTGGTACTGATTTTAACTGAAGAAGCTATCCATTGTCACTCATGTAGCTCTGGATGAATGAGTTTTAATTTGACCCTCAGGAGTCAGTCTAGCCAAATAATAACAATGAAAATGCATGAGAACAGCAATTTCAACCTGGTTATTTCACAGACAAGCTTATTTTATGCATCAATAGCAAATAAATCAAGAAATTGGATGGACTTGCTGAATGTCTTTCACTGCCCTAAGTAAATCCATCTAGCTAGCTTAACAAGCAGTTCTGAAGATTGGAGTGTAAGCAGAGGAGAAATATTGATTGATTGCTTTATTTAGAGTAGAACTGTAACACCACCTATGCAAGGAATTTAGCATATATAGCCAGGCAGTACCATCTTGTTGCTATACACTTTACTGCAAGATAGATTAGACACTGGTGTGTGGAGTCTGATCCCATAACTTTAAGCCCTCTCTAATAGCAAAACATCTCCTACTAAAGGCATTAACTTTTGGGAGATGCAAGTGACTGCTGGCTGGCATATTACATTTCCATAATGCCACACCACCGGGTAACTGAGCATCTGAGGGAATGTCAAAATTCACATGTACGACTGAGCTGTTTCAATCAACCTTGTAAACATTTTAAAGAGGAAGAACATCTTACATCAAGCAACCAAGTTCCAAATTTATGCTTCATTTTGGAGGCTTGGATATTGTAATGTGCATATAACAACAAAGTACCCTCTAGAACAACCTTCTGCTTCCCTATCAGCAATTCTTCCTCTTACTGCTGTAATTTTTATTTCCCAAATAGTAATAATACTAATAAACCTGAGCCCATAATCTGAGACCTAATAGACATCTTCCTGAGACCAGGAACATAGCATTAAAAAACAAGGAAATACTTGTATTAGCAATAGAACTGCCCTGGTAGAGAACTAGTGGAAGTTGTCATTGCAGAATCAGCCATGTTTTCACAATTCCAGGTCTACGCAAAACTGCAGAAAACATTTACCATCCTCATGAATTTCTAGACTAGCCTACAAGATCATCCAGACCAGGTTTCCATACAATATTTCTCTGGGAACTCTTCATCCACTTTAAAGCCTCACTTGACCAACTTCCAGCTGGCACTCAACTCATGGGCACTTGCAATGTGACCCACCCCTGGCACCAGTGATTTCAACACACTGCTCATGCTCCAAGCACCATTCCTCACATGTACATTGTTGGTTTTTTGTTTTTGTTTTTTTGATATGGAGTCTTTCTCTGTCACTCAGGCTGGAGTGCAGTGGTGCAATCTTGGCTCACTGCAACCTCTGCCTCGCAGGTTCAAGTAATTCTCTTCCTCAGCCTCCTGAGTAGCTGGGATTACAGGTGCCCGCCACCACACCTGGCTAATTTTTATATTTTTAGTAGAGACGAGGTTTCACCATCTTGGCAAGACTGGTCTTGAACTCCTGACCTCGTGATCCACCCGCCTCAGCCTCCCAAAGTGCTGAGATTACAGGCGTGAGCCCCCACGCCCAGCCATATATACATTGTTGATGCAGACACTTCTCAGTGAATTTAAGATTTGGGAGAAGAACTTTAAATGGAGAGAATTAAAAATTTAAGCAATTGGACCAGGCATGGTGGCTCATGCCTGTAATCGCAGCACTTTGGGAGGCCACGATAGATGGATTTCTTGAGCCCAGGATTTCAAGAACAGCCTGGGTAACAAAGTGAAAGAAATTGTTTTTCTTCAAAAAAAATTTTAAATATTAGCCAGGCTTGGTGGTGCATGCCTGTAGCCCCAGCAACTAGGGAGGCTGAAGCGAGAGGATCCCTTGAGCCCAGGAGTTTGAGGCTGTAGAGAGTTATGATCCGACCATTGCACTCCAGCCTGGTTAATGAAGGAAAACCTTGCCTCAAACAAACAAACAAACAAACAAACAAAAATTAAGAAATTGGTTACCTAATGCTGAAAAAACAAATTGTCCTAAATAATACAGTAATTCTTGGTATTCAGAGAGGACCAAATTCTAATCTACAAATTCATAAACAGCACTATAGATTATAAATTATTCTATATAGTGAAGTGAATTTTAGCTGCAAAAATAAACTCAAATGGCTTTTTCAGTCCCTTTAAAGAAAACTACTTTGACTATAAGAACAAGTGAACACAAGCAAAGTAGTATTCAGGTTTAGGGTGGCCAGCTAGACTCACTCCCAAGCAAGGTTACCTGCCCTGCACAGCACTCTTACTGAGGATGGAATTCAAACTGCTCCTCTAGAAAAATGACATATTACTACAGATCTCAGGTTTTAAGAAAAATCACCTGTAAATGTGGCTGGTCAAATTTGTTTTATTACTGTGCAAAACCTTACGGGCATTTTTTACTAGAAAAAGTTGTCCATTTTCACAAATAATTTGATCTAATCAGTTGTGATGTGATTCAGAAGTAGGATCGTTGGTTATATTTGAAACAAAAATCAAGGGAAAGTATTTGTATTACAATCCAATTAAGAATAGCAGCTTGATAACTTCAAAAAATATGGGTGTAATTATTTGTAAAGTCTTAATTTACAAGTATCTGGCTCCAATGTCCTTCAGAGACCTCTCCTAGGAGACCGATGCTTGTCTACCTCTCACTCTGTAGTAACAGTGCCACTGCAAGCCCATCACTGGATGCCTTCTTTAAACACAATTTCCACACTGAAGGACTGCAGAAACAGGTAGCACGTTCTACTCCTGATTTTTACAGCTTTCACTCACTTGCAGTGATATCAAAGAATGTGAAAACTATTTTCCTGGCTATTTAGTAGCGGTCGGGTACGTCTCCTAGCTCGGTGAGACTCTGCCTTTCCTCTGTGTTCTCGTGGTTCCCTCCACCTTCATCTTGGCACGTAACCCACTGATCTTACCTGGGTGTCATGTCGCTAGACTAGCAGCTCCTCAAGAACAGGGCTTTCTGTTGTTCATCTTCACGTCCCCAACCTCAAGCAATAGTTCATGTCACACAGAAGGTCACACAGCTTGAGTTTACTATTTAAGCTGAATAATGAAGCAACCAGGCATTTGATTCAGTTAACTTTCTAACAACTTATGCTCTCCCACATTTTTTCTCATCGGAAGCCCTAGGAAGCATAACCAACCCCTTGGCAGCAGCTCATAAGATTTTTTTTATCTCATGTGACAGGAAAAAAAGCCACTATAGAAGGTTTGAGCAGGCAGCTAGCACAGCTCTACCCAGCAATGCCTAAGGGCAATCTAAATGCATCTCTGTAAGACATGGAAATGGGAACAGTTTATCACCTAGTAAAAAAACAGAAAAATGAGCACAATTACTCTGGTTTCTTACAGTACAGTATGAAAAGAAATTGAATAAATACCTATGATGCCAAAATTACTAGGCTTCATACCTGAAATGATTGAGTGAAAAGTAAGAGCCTCAGAAAAGGTTTTTCTAAAATGGGCCTGTTTAAGTAGCTTGTTTCCCCAAGCAAAACTACAAATTTTGATTTATAAAGTGTAAGTAGTTGTGGCAGCACCGCTGAAAAGGCTATTTATACTCTTCCAGGCAGGAATCTGATAAGACCAGCTGGTTATTTTTCTAGAGAGAATGCTGTATCCAACATGCTGGGCTTGCATATTTACTACTTTTCTCCCATTATTAAGGTTCTCTCCCCAAGTGAAAAGGAAAGAAAATTCAATTCTCGTAAGCTTTCCTTCTTCCCATGTCAGAGAAGAAATATTTAGAAGGTTGCACGAAGCTCATGTGCCGAGAGTTGAGCAGCAACAACGTGAGAAATCAAAGTCTCCATCTCTCCCAATGGTCATGGGGGTGTTGGGTTTAGCTCAAAGTGTCACACTCTCAGTACTTTTAACCCATGATTTCTGTCTTCTGCCACAGATAAGGACAGACTCTCTGTGTCTGTTCTAGATTTCTCTAACAGTGTTTCTGTTCCTATTTGGATTGCCAACTCTTCTCACAGAATGTCATAGGTTCATTTTCAAGGCCAAAGAGAAGCATAAGCTGCTTACAGTAAAGGGTGATATTGATAATTAAATAATTTTCCCCATTTCACACTCCCACTCTTTTTTACATATTTTGCAGTTCCTATAAAGGACCAATAAAGCATTTTTAGTTATTAAACCATATTTCATAAATAAAAAAACAAATGGTTTTAAAGTCTATTCTGAAGTTGGCAGGAACAAAACAATAAAAGTCCATTTTAGTAGCAAAATCAACTCAATGAATACATTAATGAAAATTCAGAAAATCTTTTCCTATTTTTTAAACAGCTGCAGCTAAGAAAAACATAAATTCAAGTCTATACCCTATGAAATTCAAGTCATTTAGCCTATGACAGTTCTTCATTAAAAATAATGGAGGGTTGGAGAGGAAAGTTTAGAAAAGGAAGAGGAGGTACTTTTCCACAGTGGGGACTAATTCCTAAGGTTGAACATCATTCACTCACATACAACATGGTGCTGAAAATTTATTCAGACAATTTCCACAAGGGTAGAATAAAGAAAGCATTATCAAATACTCCACCCATGAAAGATTAATGCTATAGGAACTGCCACCTGCTATACACAACTAGAAACCTAGAAAAAATATATGAAACAAATGATTGCAGACAGTGGACATAGGTGATGTATGTCAGTTATACCTGCTAGAGGGGGAAAACATGAGTTAAACTCTTCAATTGCCCCAGCTTACTGCCTGGAAGGAATTTCATTTTTTTGTTGTTGTTAAGACAGAGTCTCACTCTGTCGCTAGGCTGGAGTGCAGTGGTGCGGTCTCAGCTCACTGCAACCTCTGCCTCCCGGGTTCAAACGATTCTCCTGCCTCAGCCTCCCAAGTAGCTGGGACTTACAGGCGTGCGCCACCACACCCAACTAATTTTTGTATTTTTAGTAGAAACGGGGTTTCACCATGTTGGCCAGGATGGTCTCAATCTCTTGATCTCATGATCTGCCCCCCTCTGCCTCCCAAAATGCTGGGATTACAGGCATGAGCCACCACACCCAGCCACAGTTTTTAGGATCAAAAGCAGTGAGGCAGAAGACTAAGAGGGGCTAGAGAGTCAATGAGTTGAAGAGGTAAGGTTTAGAGTTTGAAGAAACCAGAGCGTCTAAAATTTGTGGGACAGAACAGTGAAGAGGGAGCTTCAGAGATCTGCTGAAGTTGCCACTCAAATCATTGTTTAAATACTGATCTGCACGTGCATAAAGTAAAACTCTAAAATGCTGAGGGAAAGCGTGGAAAGCAGTCAGATAAAAAACAAACTAAGAGAAGGCAAGAAAATTGGGGCAGGAGGAAGGACACAGATAAAACAAATAATAAGTAGAAAGATGGTAGATTTAAATCAAAGTATATCAGTAATTACACTTATATAAATAGTCTAAAAGTTTTGATTTTATTGAATCTGAAATAGTCAGATTTAATAAAAAATCAAAATCCAGCGATATACTGTCTCCAGAAAACCAACATTAAAAATAAATACTTTTAAGATAAGTTAAATATAGGCCAGGCACAGTGGCTCATACATGTAAAACCAGCACTTTGGGAAGCCGAGGCGAGCCGATCACTTGAGGTCAGGAGTTCGAGACCAGACTTATCAACGTGGTGAAACCCCATCTCTGCTAAAAATACAAAAATTAGCCAGGCATGGTGGCAGGCACCTGTAATCCCAGCTACTTGGGAGGCTGAGGCAGGAGAATCACTTGAACCCAGGAGGCAGAGGTTGCAGTGAGCAGAGATTGTGCCACTGCACTCCAGCCTGGTGACAGAGCAAGGCCCTGTCTCAAAAATAATAATAATAAAAATAAAAACAAGTTAAATATAAAAGAATGGAAAAAATATGGACTACATATAACATGAAAAATAATCAAAAGAAAGCTGTAGTGGCTGTATTAACACCAGAAATAAATAGACTGCAGAATAAGGAATATTAGTGGGAATTGCAAAGAAAGAACAGAAGAAAATTTTTGTGACCATGGGCTAGGCAAATATTTCCTAGGACACCAAAAGCACCAACTAAGGGAAAAAATGATAAATTAGACTTCATAATATTTTTTAAATTGCTCTTCAGAAAATACTGTTAAAAGAATAAAAAGATAAGCAGCCACAGACTTGGGAGAAATATTTTCAAAACATATAACTGTTACAGGATTTGTGACAAGAATATCTGAAGAGCTCGTAATTTGATAATAAGACAACTCAATAAAAACTGGGCAAAAATATGTGAACACTACTTAAAAGAAAATATACAAATGGCATATAGGCACATAATAGGTGCTCAGTATCATTAGTCATTAAGGAAATACAAATACTACTACATGTCCACTAAATTGGCTAAAATTAAAAAGACTAACTCTACCAAGTGTTGGTGAGGACAGGGATTAACTAAAGTTTCATATGTTGTTGCAATGTACAAGTAAAATTAAAATTGATGCAGGCACTTTGGGAAACAGCTTGCCAGCTGCTTCTTAGGCTAAAAGGACACCTATCACAGTACCCAGAAATTCCACTCCTCCATATTTACACAAGAAAAAATGAGAATATATGTCATGTAAAGACTGAAAGTTCATAGTCATTTTTTTTAATTATTATTATACTTTAAGTTTTAGGGTACATGTGCACAATGTGCAGGTTAGTTACATATGTATACATGTGCCATGCTGGTGTGCTGCACCCATTAACTCGTCGTTTACCATTAGGTATATCTCCTAAAGCTATCCCTCCCCCCTCCCCCAACCCCACAACAGTCCCCAGAGGGTGATGTTCCCCTTCCTGTGTCCATGTGTTCTCATTGTTCAATTCCCACCTATGAGTGAGAATATGCGGTGTTTGGTTTTTTGTTCTTGCGATAGTTTACTGAGAATGATGATTTCCAATTTCATCCATGTCCCTACAAAGGACATGAACTCTTCATTGTTTATGGCTGCATAGTATACAGAATAGCTCAAAATGGAAACAAGCCAAATGTGCCTAGAGTGGTAAATGAATTAAACAAATAGTATATCTATAAAAGGGGATACTACTTAGTCATAAAAAGAAATACAGTGCTGATAGAGCCAACAGCATAGATGATTCTCAAATGAATTACTCAAGTGAAAGAAGTCAGACACAGAGAATTACATGCACTGTGATAAAAATAACACTATAGTAACAAAAAGATCAGTAGTTGCCAGAGGCTGGGGGGCAAAGAGAAGAACTGAATGCAAAAAAGCACAGGGATGCTTTTAGAGATGATAAAAATGTTTTATATTTTGATTGTGGTGACACTTACACAACTTTATACATTTTTCAAAGCTAATTGAATTATACAATTCAATTTAAATTGATTTATTATATAATTAATTATACTCAATGAAACTGATTTTTTTAAAGATTGGAAGAAAATATAATAAAAAAGAAACTGTCATCATTTATTAGAACATCTTTTCCTCTAAATGAGACTAAAAAAAAGAAAGAACATCTGTATTAAAAGAAATTGCCCTTGTTTCTTATTACTGTGTGTCCTGTTGTGCATTTTGTATCTTATCAGGCAGGGAAAAAAATCAAACTATTTAAGGCTGAGGTTAACTATGTGGAAAGACCTACAAATGGTATAAAATTAATTTACATTAAAATAAGAGTAGTTTTTGGTAACTAATTGATCACTTTTAAGGTGTATTTTATAAGTGCAAAGATTACACATGGATGCTTATCCTTATTGTGAATTATTAAAAAGTTTGACATAGCTGCACATTTCCTCATCAATATGAAAAATTAAGCTTCAGGAACTGACCTTATAAATAGATCGGAGGAAGCAGAAGGACAGTGAGAATAAGTTAATGACATTTCCAGATAATCAAGCCCTATAAAAATGTAGAATTTGAATGTGAAATGTGCAGAATAAATCAAATCCAAAGTATATTCCAAGACTTTAAATAGCCCATGCTAAATAAGAAAAGAATAACCTAGTAAATCTAAATCTTGGTCACATTTATGTAGTACCACCTTTAGTACTAGATACACACACACACACACACACACACACACACACAGAGAGAGAGTTCATTATCAAATTAATTAAGACAATAGTGAATTAAACAAAATAAAACCAATTTCCTCATGTCAAGACTTCTCAGAATCTTTAATATGCTAAATTGCATTGTGATTCTTAGTGGAGAAAAGGCTGTTATAAAGCATGTCCTCAAATTACTAGAATATGAATTCTTTTCTCAAGGATTAGCTATAGGAAATTGTACTTGAATATCAAACTTTGGGAAAGCTAGCTTAGAGCAGTGTTCCTTTTCCCAGAGAAGCCCTTTCTTAAATATGTAAGCACAGTTCTTTAAACCATGTCTCAATCTTTTAATTGCTATGTTGTTTCATTTGTTCTGCTTAGTAAATGTTAGAAATAAATATTTTGTTGCTTGTTTAGTAATAGTCTCTTGGAAAGTGTTTATTTGTATATGTGTATGTATATGCAATTTTTTCAAGAAATAATTAATTATAAAGTATGTGTATATAATTTAGCTAATTTTAAATGGTTCTAACATCATTTAAATCTAGGCAAAGCTAGTCTGGTTTGTATCAGACAGGCATGCTCGCTTATCGGCAAAGGGACACTTTTTGAACAAGAAGCAGTTGGAAGACAATTCCTCATGGATCTCTTGCATTTCTGCATGTCTTTTGACTAGAGGAATTGGCAGCTTTTTACAGCACAGTCTTTTGGAGGATATTTGTATAGCAACAGCCTTGGAAGATATAGTACCTTTCTCTAGGGCACAAGGCTGATTTGTCTGCAATCAGGATAATAAAATGTCTCTTTTCAAGCCAAGGTTGGGCAGATTTTCTGGCAGCCCCCTTTAAAACAGTGGTTTCTGAGATCCCTTTAAAAGCTCAGAGTTTCTCAGCATGAGGCAAACCCACTGCATGTGGAGTATCCACCTAGGCTGCTCCACATCATGCCCCTGGGTATCAGGGCGCAAGGGAAACATTTTGAACATTATGACGTTCCTGCTTCGTGAGTGCCATGAGTAATAATATCCTTTGTCTCTAGCCCAGGAGTCTCGTATCTTCTACAAGCATCCATGAAACTGTGACAGGTAAACTTATTAGCTTGCAAATAGGATAAAATCTCAGACACTTCATAGTTTTGATAGCTGTAACATTTACATTGAGGTGACATTTCCAGATGAATATCTTTTCATGTAATAACAGGAAAGGCTTGAAGATGTCAGTGGAGGATTAAATGACACAAGATGGGGAAGTTATAAAGAGGTTTAGTCTTGTTGAAAGAACCAAATACATAATATTGGTTCCCAGGGGCTGCCAATGTAAGGTCTAATGTAAAAGTCAGAAAGAATACGATAGAGGCAGAATTTCAGAACACAGCGGTTTGATTTCATGATCTAGCTATATTGTCTACATAATTTGTACAAACAGAAGAGGGTGACAGGAAGCCAGAATCTGGGAGAATCAGGGCACGTATATTCTATAAGTCTGCAAATAAAATAATATTCAGAAAGCTAAAATAGTTCTGTAGCACCTCTTTCTTTTGGGCCTCCTGGCATGATCATCATATACACTACATGCTTGAAATTCTAGATGGAGGGAAGGATTGAAAAGGTGTGTTGTAGGAACAAGTTGCAAATCACAACATTCCAGAAAAATAAATGCTCTGGAATTACAGAAATAAGATTATACTGTCTACACTCATGTTTATCACCTAACAGAGGATATTTGTACATTGTTTTGTTCTTTTTATTTGTTTTATTCTTCTTACACAGAAAACAAAAATCTCGAGGCTTTGGATTATAAAAACTGCCTTGTTATTCAATAGGCGGTATAATAGCTCCATAAAATGCTCATGTGTAAGCCCTAGAACCTGAAATATGTTGCAAAACACAGCGAAAGGGACCCCGTGATGTAATTAGGTGACAAACTGTAAAATGGGTTGATTATTTTGGATTATCTGAGTGGACCTAATCTAATCACATAAACCCCTAAAATTGAGCAGAGAGGCTGGGCACAGTGGCTTACACCTGTAATTCCAGCACTTTGGGAGGCCAAAACGGGCAGGTCACCTGAGATCAGGAGTTCAAGACCAGTCAGGCCAACATAGTGAAACCCTGTCTCTACTAAAAATACAAAAATTAGCCAGGAGTGGTGGTGGGAGCCTGTAATCCCAGCCACTCGGGAGGCTGAGGGAGGAGAATTTCTTGAACCCAGGAGGCAGAGGTTGTGGTGAGTCAAGGGTGTGCCACTGCACTCCAGCATGGGTGACAGAGCGAGACTCTATCTCAAAAATATATATATAAATTAAAAAAGAAATTTTAAAAAAATTGAGCAGAGAACATTTTTCCAGCTGGAGGCAGCAGAGGTGTACCAGAAAAGAAGCCAGAGGGATTTGAAGCACAAAAGTGACTCAACCTATTGCTCCTGGAGGGGCCTCACATGAATGCATAAGAAGCAATATGGGCAGACTAGGAGCAAAGACTGGCTCCCAAGTGACAGTCAGCAACAAAATAGAGACCTCAGTCCTATAACCACATAGAACGGAGTTCAGCCAACAAACTGTATGAGCCTAAAAGTGGATTCATCTCTCAGTGTCCAGAAAGAATCAGCCTTCTGGACTCTAAGCAGAGGATCTAGCTGAGCTAAACTCTACCCAGACCTCAGACCTTCAGAGCTATGAGATCATACATGCGTATTGTTTAAGTGCTAAATTCATGGTAATTTGTTATAGCAGAAATAGAAAACTAATGTAAATACCAAACTCCCTCTGTAACCACTGATAGACAATTTGTATGAAGCTTTTATATTTGAGGATTCAAGCAATGATGACCCAATAAGCAAACCTGTGGAGATGTTGCCAGTTTTTAATTCAAGTATCAGTTATTTGCCTATAGACATTTGTCTAGTAAATGAAGTAACTTGATGAATAATTGAAACTTTGCTATTTGATACCTTTTCAATTATTCACTAACAAAAGAGAATAACAGTACCATTGCCAGAGAGTTTAGATAAATATTTCTCTCTTGAATTTATTTAACTCTTATACCATGACTACAATGTCAAAGCTATCACAACTGACAGTGAATATTGGAAAACTTCCTTTGAATTATTCTTTTAGGCATTGAACACGAGGTCCACTGTGGGTTAGTGGAGCACACAGGTTAGTATTTGCATCTTGCCCAGGAAATAACCTCATCCTTCTAAAAGGGGCTTTCTTGTTACTTTTGAACTATCCTTCCCAGCTAGCTTCCTAGCTAACTTTTCTTTGAGAATAAAATGTTTTGAAATGTCTAAACAGCAGGATTGACGTATTATCATCTGTGCTTTGGGGAGATGATAATATAACTGATTATTAGTTAATGCATAGCAGATTAGTAACAAACTTTAAGAATGATACTAAAGAACTGCAAAGAGCGGAAACGTCTCTCTAAGGTGCAGTGAGTGATTTGGAATGATCACAATTACTTATTTGCTAGCTCTGAGTCAATACTCCAGAGGAGGAACCTCATCTCAGGATTATTAACATGAGTGAAGAGTTAAGACCTGTTAATATCACAGGACAGTGGCTAGTGATATAAATCACCAATTATATCCTCAGAAGCAGAAGATTCTGCCTTCTTTTTTTTTTTTTTTTTTTTTTTTGAGACAGGGTCTCACTCTGTCTGTCACCCAGGCTGGATTGCAGTGGTGTGATCACAGCCTCTATCTCCCTGGCTCAAGTGATCACCTCAACCTCCTAGGTAGCTAGGACTACAGGCGAATGCCAACAAATCCAGCTAATATTTTATTATTATTATTACTTGTCTTAGAGATACAGTATGGCTATGTTGCCCAAGGTGGTCTCGAACTCCTGGACTCAAGCAATTCTCCTACCTGTGCAACGTAAAGAGATCTCATCTGTACTAAAAATCAAAAAATGAAATAGTCAAGCACGGTAATGCACACCTGTAGTCCCAGCCACGCAGAAGGAAACAACCTAAATGTCGGCCATTGGACAGCCTCTGGTCTACCATGATGTACCTAGAACACAATGGTGCTCTTACAGACCTGTAGAACTACATACCGTGGGCAGAGGGTGATGCTTCAAAGACAAATATTTTCCATGACTACAACATGCAGTATCAGAAACACATCACTGCCAGGTATTCACCTGGCCAAGAGGAAGACAGCCAAGTCTATACCTTTGGTGATGCCTGACTCCTGAGGAAAGAAGGCCCTAGGAAGGCAGGGTGGGGTTTATTCAGCCAGACAGCATGGAGCTACACCAGCCCAAGCCCTCTGTATTAGTAGCTTGGGCTACCATAGCAATGAACCACAGACTGAATGACTGAAACAATAGAAATCCATTTTCTCACAGTTCTGGGTGGCTTGTGGATTGCAGTAGGCATCAGTACTTCATTCCTTTGTATGCTTCTCTGTGTCTTCACGTGGTCTTCCCTCTGTACATGTTTGTGTCCAAATTTCTTGTTCTTAGAAGGACACCAGTTATACTGGATTAGGGCCCACCCTAATGATCTCATTTTAACTTAATTACCTTTTTAAAGGCCCTGTTTCCAAATGCAGCCACAGTTTGAGATACTGGGGGTTAGGCTTTCAACATCAATTTGGGAGATAGGACACCAATTTAGCCTATAATACCTGCTATCAGAGAAAGTCCAGAAGCACCTAAATCTAAAACTAAGTCCCCTTTTTCCTTTCATCCACCTGTCCTGATCTTGTACTGCCCTCTTCCATTCCCATGGCCACAGGACATGGATTTCTTTCGCCCCTTGTCTACCAAAGAATAGATAAACCTCCTAGCTTCCCTCAGATTTCTTTAGCCCTCAAAGATGCTCATGGCCTTCTGAACACTTCTATAGGTTTAAAGAATAGGGCAGTAAACATCCTTTCCCTCTTGCGGAACTTAGATCTTATTAGGAGGGACAAAGTCCCACTGGGAGGTTATTGTATATACAACAGGCCAAAGAAAGATGTACCCAGTTTATTGGGAACAATAGTAACTAACAGTAACATAGAACTTTACCACCAAAACTACATATACATATATCATCACTTTTGATCCCCATGGTAGTTTGTGAGAAAAATAGGACATCCGCAGTTTACAAATAAAGAATCTGAGCTTTAGAGTGTTTCCATGATTTGTCCATGGTTGTTAAGTTAGGTTATACAGTGAGAAAGATCCAGGGCTCTGATTCAGACCCAGGGGTTCTTGGCTCCTAATATTGATCAGATATATTGAGCTGCTGCCTCCCTATTTTAAACAAAAGTGAAGAGGTGGCATTTTTGATTCAGAAAAGGCAAGTGAGCCGGCGAGTGTACTTGCCAGAGAAGTGAAGAACAGATCTGGCCCCGGGAAAAGGGAGGGAAAAGCAAAGCGAGTGGGCTTCAATAATCAGGAAACACCGAGCTCCAACCGTGAGGGGAAAAGGCAGGCTTCTCCTCTCCCCACCTCTGCTGGCCTGAGGGTCACCAGACAAAAATTGGAAGTACTAGCTTAAGGGGAAGGGAGAGAAGAACGGCACGCAGAGGTGCCTAGGCTTCCTCCAAACCAAGTTTCCAAAAGGAAAGAGGGCAGAAACTATCCAAAGACATGGCTGCTGTCTTGCTAACCCCATGACCACAAGGGAGCAGGCTTGGAGCGCTGTTTCAGGCATTCCCCCAGGATTCTTCTTAATTTGCAGCCTGTGTGTGTCAAGCCTGGGTCTGCTTGCAGCCTGTTTACAGAAGAAATGGTCTGAGGAAGATAAACCTAAGGAGAAATCCTCACATCAAAATATTTTGTGTTGAAAGAAATTGCACAACCCTTCCCCCTGTCCTCCGGAAAGGCTTTTTATTTTCTAAAGGGCATGTTGCTTAAATGGCTCCAACCAAGGCTGCACAGAGCTCTTCAAAGGCCTTCTCTGGCTGCCCTTGGGAGACGGTGCCAAAACACATTAGATTTTGAAGCTCTAATTTGAAAAAATGTTTCTAATTCAGATCTCAGTTTCCTTTAGTAAATTTCATAGTATTATTTCTCATTATACCTCCTCTTGGCACTATATATAATCCTATCCTTCTTTTTACCCTTCAGCTGGCAGTCAAGAGGTATTGCATCTATCCAATTCATCACTTAGCTAAGACATGTAAAGCATATTGAGTTATTTTAGCCACTTTCTTCAGGCTTAAGTTCTTAATATGATCACTTTATCGTCCTCAGCACTCTTCTGGCAAACGATCTCAAAATTGCGAGGAATTTTAAAGATCGCTTTAGTCCAGCCACCCAATTGATATCTAAATCCCATCTACCCAGCAGACCAGTGAAACAAACTCCATGGTTACTCAGGCTTCAGGTAACTCAATACTTTGTGAACTGACCCTTTATTTATTTGAGGAGCAGAAGTATATTTTCTTATACTTCTTTCTTCTGGTGGGGAAAAAAACATCTGTTACTTCCAACCATTGTTCCGTGCTCTGAAGTTGAAACAGAAGTCTATGGTTTACAGATATAGCCAATCAAATATTAAAAATAACATTCAAATTCATTGAATATCCCAAGACGCTAGCTAAAATTAGGTAGTAAGTATGTGCGTTAGTTTTAACTATGAATTAAGCCATTTGTTTACTTATCTATTCATCAACTTGACTGGAAAGCACAAAGAAAACATCAAGGTGTTATTTCCTGAAAGTACTCCATTCTTCCCAATGCCTTCTTTTGGTCACTGCCTTACTTGTTCAAGGAGAGCCCTTACTTTCTCTATCATTTACCTATAATATTTTTTTAAATCCCTACTAGGTGGTTGGTAAGAAATATAATGTGAATTTGGACTAATAAGTGAATATGGACTAATTTGGGCTAATAAGTGAATATAACAGAGTGACTTAGCCTTTTCTGATATTATTATATTTTATCAGAGACCTTCAATATTTAACATAAGTACATGATGTTGCAAGCATCAGGTGACCTAGAAGTTTGAAAGGAGTGAGACTTTGAGTCTGGAAAGTGCTTTTGACCTTTTTAAAAGTAAACTTTATTTGTCTAGCCTAGAGCCAGTGCTGGAAAATACTAGTAATATGTCTCCGGTCCTAGAATAAATCCACATTTCAATGTTGAAAGAACTGCTTACATTATTTGCTTGGGGAGATGACTCAAGACGTCTGGCATAAGCCGCAAAACAGCTCAGGCGAATTGAATTTGCATGTAGGAAGTAAGAGGCTTACCATAAGCATTCTTCTGTGATTACTCACATAGTCAAGGGAAGAAAACTCCTGACTAAATTTTTGCACTCATTTTTAGAAATCCCTTTATTGTAAGGATGGAGAGATCCACTAGCTCAGTTGTCTTTCTATCAAGGAAGGACACTTAAACCTCCCTTGACTGGTGAGAGGTTAAGGATCTCCCAGGAAGGAAATGCCACTGCTTCTTGTGATTGTCTTTGCCAATGTACCATTAAAAATAAGACTGTGTGTCTCCTTGCCCCTCTTGCCCTGATTCCAACCCCTCTGAGTCTCCCTTTTTCTCTTCTTTTCAGAATGCCATTTTCACTCTCCTGACCCTCCTCCCCCCATCCACACCCCACCCCAGATTAATCTTTGCCAAGTGTGTTAGTCCATTTTCATACTACTATGAAGAAATACCCAAGACTGGGTAATTTGTAAAGAAAAGAGGTTTAATGGACTCACAGAGAGGAGGCCTCACAAGCATGGTGGAAGGCGAAGGAGGAGCAAAGTCACATCTTACATGGTGGCAGGCAAGAGAGCATGTGCAGGGGAACTGCGCTTTATAAAACCATCAGATCTTATGAGATTTATTCACTATCATGAGTACAGCATGGGAAAAACCTGCCCCCCTGATTCAATTACCTCCCACCAGTCCCTTCTACGACACCTGGGGATTATGGGAGCTATTTAATACAATTAAATAGGAGCTCTGGGTGGGGACACAGCCAAACCACATCACCAAGCAAGCTCTGGTCTGCTCAGAGTTCCAGTGACTCTATTTGCTTCCAGAATAAAAACCAAACTTACCTGGTGCTCCAGATTCTTCACCAGCCACCTTAATCCTACATTTTTAGGCTGACATCCCACACTCTCTTCACAAATCCTCTGACTTTGGCAAAGCTAACCATTGTGCCCACCTGCAGTGATGCAACCCTTTTCACACCAGCTCCTGGTGTCCTGCCAGCCTGAGAGTTCTTCCACACTTGCTTCCATGTGAGCGTGCCCTACCCGCCTTTAGCACGAATGCTTCCATGAAGATTTATTTGCTACTGCTCATGATTTCTCCTCCTAAACCCTTGGGGAATTGTGTTTTTTCCTTTCTTGTGATAGGTACATGGTCTAACTTGCACTGTTTTACCATCTTCCTCCCTGACTACATGCTCTCCTATAGCAGAGCCTAGTACCATGTCTTGCATCCAGTAGTGCTCAATAAGTGCTTATCAGATAGCATCAAACATTGGCCAGTAACCTGAGTTTATTCTCAGACTCAGATGCCAATGAAAAGAAATCAAGAAAGACTAAATGGCATATGTGCATGTTCATTTTAGCTCTTTTCAGAATATTGACCTTGATCACTTAATTCAAGGGAGTTTTGTGGTTATATCACTGAGTCCATTGTTATGTACATATGTGGCGATTAGAAGAAAAGGAAAAAAGTTCATACTTGCCTTCATCAAGTTTTAGTGCTGATAAACCATGCTAGAAACTATTCACATTTCCCTTGCTGCTGGCTCCCTCACCACTTTTTATTCCATTGGTGCTATTGTATCCCACTTAACATTTGTATGCTGTTCTCTTGAAGTCTTTGGAGTTCTTGCAGAGTATCACAATGCCTTATAATCAGTTAGAAAAATGGAACAATTCAATTTCCCACCAACATAACTCTGGGTAATCCTCCTTTGCTGCTAATTCTAAAAAGGACTGGAAAACACACACAAAAAAAATCACAGTGCTATTTCCTGAAATAATTCCATTCTCTCTGATGCCTCCTCCAAAGTGGCAGCAGAAGCAGAAGAAACAAGGTGATCTTCCAGGAGCTAATGGTAGTGCCACCATCCAGGACTGTAATAATTGAGCGTTAATGTCCTGAGCTGTTGCTTGTCATAAATCCTCTATATGTAAAACTCGAGCCTCTGCTACGCAAGATTAATGGTTAGTAGTGTATATAATATTTATTAAACCTCTTTTTATGTTGCTTGGCAATCTGTGCTACCATCAAACAAGTTGAAATAATTGACATTTAGCACATCAACCTGCTTTTGACTGAGAAGCATGACATTCATGTAGATAGTAAACATTTGGCAATTGCTGTAAATGTCTCCAAATTTAACGTCATGACCTTTTCTCAGGTAAATGTTTTTGGATAAAATGTAAATAATGATTCACTGTATGTCAAATACCACAGTATGTCAAATACTGTGCAATGTCAAGTTTACTGTCTTGTTACCCTCCAGAGGTTCATAGATTGGTTGACCTGTTGCATCTTTCAGTAAGTTTTATAGGAAAACTCACTATTATTTATTATAATTCATTGGGTTTCCCTACTTTGCCCTCACAATATTTCTGATTAAGAAGAAGTGTGGTTTGGTTTCACCATATAATTAAATGAAACTTGGCATTTTAAAAATCCATACTCCAGCATGAAAAAATTAATACTATTTCAGTGGCCTCAAAGCACAAGGATGCATAACATGCCATAGGATCTCTGGAAGCAGTCACTTTGAATGGGCAAGTGGAAGTAGCACTAACAGATTCAAGGGGCCCATCCTTTCACCTTCCAAGATCTCTGGGCTCTTCTCCAATCATATAACAAATGCTAATGTTATGAAAGCATAATGTAGCTACATCTGATTGTGCTACTCTACAAAAATTCATCTTCATTGATCAGTGTGAAAGGATTGCTCTAAATAATAGTCCAATAGTTCCTTCCAACTGACTACTACATTTAAGTGGTTTCCCTAAGAGGAACTAGACTTTTCCATGATGCTCACTTAGTACACACCAAGTATAAATGGAATTTTTTATGCATCTTCCATTCTTTTAGTTTAATAAAGTAACCCAGACAGAGTATTTTGCAACTGTCGACGTGATTCAGTTACAGTCTGTTAATATAGCAATAGAAATAGATATGTGTTGATGTGCTAACAATAAAATCAAATCTATTTAAATTTTTTTTTCAAAGATAAGATAGGCATTTAGGTCTAATTCCTAGAAAGATTTCTGGAAACTCATATAATCAGTTAAAAATAAAAAGGTATGAAGACCCATTGTGTACCTGATATTCACTTTGCATTTTGAGTATCTTTTTTTTTTAACATTCCTTTGACAGAATTTTCCTGAGTGCCTACTAAGAGAAAAAGGCAACTCTAGACATTGCTACTTCAGTTCTGAAGAAAACACCAAGGTGTCCTCCATCTTAAAGCCTACACCCTGGGAAAAACTTTATATTTGTCTTCTCTTTGTTTCCACAACACTAACTGGGAGTTAAAGCTATTGATACTTTAGAGACCATTTTTTCCAACACCCTCGTTTCGGACATGGAGAGTTTTAGTCTCAGAATTTATATATGACTTGTCCAAAGTTGCATACTTCCAGTGGCAGATTAAAGTAAGAACTAAGTTCTCCTGCTTCCTAGGGAACTTCACACTCTACCTACTTCATTCTCGAATCCACTTACAATTGGATTGCAGCTGATAGAAAAGTTTGAAAAAAATTATCCAAATTCTCATGTAATTGCCACTACCTGAAGACACAACAAACTCTGTCTGTGCATTTTAATATCTCTTAGGAGTAATGTTAGATTGTGGGTAAAAATAATAATGATGACAATAATCTTATCAAAAATTTGTATAATGCCTATTAGCTTCTAGATCTATTTCTGAGTCTTTTGCGTACATGAATACATTGAATCCTCACAACAACCTTATAAGGTACGTATTGCTATTACCCCCACTTTACAGATGAAAAATTTATTAGGCACAGAGAGGTAAAGAAACATGCTCTTAAAATGTTCATCAAGTTAATGAGTCAGTGCAGCCATTAAAAAGAATGAGCTTACCATGTGCACTGATGTTGTAAGATTTCTGCAGTACATTGTAAAGTGAAAAATACGTATTTATCTATGTGTATAAATATATGTACATACATATACACACATAGGTGTATGACACTATTGTTTATTGTAATCACCAGAGAACTTTGTCAAAATATACTATCCAGAGCTCTAAAAAATCAGAATGTCCCAGCATGGAGGTTACACCTGCGGATTCATAAATAGATCCTAACAAGTACTACTGGTTAAGATTGCCACCCTGGTGCAACTCAACTCAGCAGGCAAATGGGGTTCTAGTTAACTAAGTAGAATAAATCATATTAAATTATAAAGTCCAATACTCTTAAAATTCTCCAGATATATTTATTTTTAAAGCTACAGATATATCTCACATCATGTGCAAAAAATATACACATAACCAGAAGCAAAAGTTGGTACCCCTTGCTGACCCTGGACATCCATGAAATCTCTCATGTCACCAGTATGCCAGAAAAACAGGCATTTAATTGTTAATCCCTGATTTAGACCATTGAACTGCAATGCCCTTTAAGGCTAAGCTAAATTTTAAATTCAATTCACTTGGAGGAGTTCATTGGTGACCTTTGAGAAATCAATTGCACAGTATCCCAGAAAAAAGATGATCTAACTTCCCTGTAAATTGATGACCTGAAAAGACATGTGCTATTCCTACCAAATAGATTGGGAGAGTGTGTTCACGTTTAAAGTTTAATGACTGTCTGTTATGTACTAATGGGAAACTTTTAGTCCCCACAAAAAGAGACAGTGAAGGGATGAACGGTGAGAAGCAGCTCTGGATGGAGTACTTTTTGCAGAAACATTTAGCAATTTTTATGGGCATTTTGGGGGCCTTATCCACTCATTATTATGACTACTTAAATAAAAATTAAAATCTTTTTTTGTTAAAATCTTTAAAACCAGAAATTGTTTTTTGTTTTTGGAGTGAAAGTAGTTTACATGTAGACAAAACTTCAGAGGTAGTCATGGAAATACAATGTTCAGAATGGAGAGACAGAAAATAGTAGACATCACCATGAATTCTCCTAACTGTCCAAAGAATACACCTCCCATGAGTGACCTTAGTCTGACTGTGTGCTGTCTCTGTCAGGGCTCTAAGATCCCTAAACATCTAGATTCAGGATTCCCTGTGGCTGAACTTTGTTTCCTTTACCTTTCTTATCAATGCCAATGGACCCTCCCAAATGGCATACAACCTCCCTCTGTTGAGACTACTGATATCCCAACCATACCTACTCCTGGGGAAGTCCCAAATCGGCTCCACTATCTTAGCTACAGAGACAGCAGCAGTCCTTTCAGATAGCTCTATGATCGACTTCAACCACCAGTTCCTAATTTTGGTGACATTTGTTCAATTAATAAATCTATCTATGAGGCCTGGCATGGTGGCTCATGCCTGTAATCCCAGCACTTCGGGAGGCCAATAAGGGCGGATTACATGCCTGTAATCCCAGCACTTTGGGAGGCCAATGAGGGTGGATTGCTTGAGCTCAGCAGTTAGAGACCAGCCTGGCCAACATGCTGAAACCCTGCCTCTACAAAAAATACAAAAAATTAGCCCGGTGTAGCGGTGTGCACCTGTGGTCCTAGCTGCTCAGGTGGCTGAGTTGGGAGGATCACTTGAGCCTGGGAGGTAGAGGCTGCAGTGAGCCGAGATCACACCACTGCACTCCAGCCTGAGCAATGGGAGTGATACCCTTCTCAAAAAATAATTAATTAATAATAAACCTATCAGTGAGGTAAACAACTGAGTACAAAATTTAGACAAAACGATTAGACAATTCTTGTTTTGTCAGCTCAGTATAAGCTTGTAAGAAAACTGAGAATTGGTCCAGGATATAATGACAGACAGGTTAAGAAGTCCCAAGTTTCATCTCTTTTCAAGGAGTATTTATGGATTACCCTCTGACTTAGCAAACAACGACTCAAGCCCCACCTCCTATCTGCGTACCCAGCAGAGTTAAACACTGCTACTCCGGACAGCCTTATATAAATAAGTTATGGACAATATATTGCCAGCTTCCACCACCTAATAACATCATGTATTTTTTATGTATTGTTGGGATTCGTAAGTTGGAGGCATATCCACTGAGATGGATAATGGTCATCTCTTTTATTTTATGCACTTAGCCTTCTTATTGAGAACTGCATTAATCTTGTGTTTTATAATGCTGAATGCCAAAGAGGTGTCTGTCTATTCCTCTCTGTCTGTCACAAAAAAAAACAAAAAGTCCTGTTCTGGCTTCTAATATACTTGCTCCTCTGGCCTCTTCTCTGCTTAGACATTTTTATTAGTATAATTGTTTTTAGAAGCATAAGCCAAAAGCTAGAATCTAAGGAAACAACACTTCCTATGGAGGAGATTTATGATCCAATATAATGAAAATACTTGTACTTTGAAATTCAGTCCCCAAAGTCAAGAAGGATTTGATGTCAGAATGTTTTTAAATCATTTTCTAGAGGAGATCTAATACAAGTGCCTTGAGACACTAAGGTTCCTACAAATGGAGTTAAACTTCATATTAATTTGTATTGGTATCAAGCAGTATTAGGTGATTTAACCATCATTAGTTTCAAATTGTTATACAGATTAAATAGCTATTCTATTCTAAATGCAAACACAATAGCGCAATACAGAGCTATTGTTTAATTATTTTAAATAGACTGTAATTTTGAATATTTCTAGTGTGACGGTTTTCCCCAACTCCTCTGCCATAAGCCATGCTGCAAATGTGAGAACAAGAACAAGTCAGTGTAAACACACACCATTACACCACCAAAGAGAGGCTTGGACCTTAAATAGATAAGGGTTTTTTGCAACTGCAAATCTGTATTGACATCCTAATAATTTCCTTGCTTACAGAACATCAGAGATAGACGGGACCTTCAAAGAGAATTTACTCTAGCACCTTTATTGTACATTGGGCAACCTGAGTGGGTCAGTAGATTATCACATAGCTATTTAGAGGAAAAGATTAGGTAAGAATGCAGGGCTGCTCTCTTCTACTCTAATGTTCTCTCCACCAGACCGTATCCATGTCTATGACCTTAGAAAACCAAAGCAGTTTTGTATACATGAAATTATTTGCCAACCTTGAATGAAAATGGGAAGGACCCCATGATCAATACAGAGGAATCTAATGTTGATATTTTACAAAACGAAACTAGGTAAAACTCAATTTTTTGTGTCCATTACAAAGAATACTAGCTACTTTATATTTCCTATGTTCATTGTTTCATTTTTATTGGCGGTTCATAGGACTAGTTTTTACTGCATCTCTAACCTTGAAACTGCTGTTTTGAAAGCGATGTTTTCTAACCTTTGTCTCTTGTTTTCACCTACAGGGCAATTATTGTGAATACTTTGTTAAAATTTGAAAAGGAATATCTGTGTCATTTTGCTAACGCTATTCAGAGCTATTACATGTCTACCACCAATTACTCTATTAGATGTATACATTTTCACACTAGTCTAAGAAAGTGACTAAGATCACCAGAATAAGGATCTGAGAGGACAAACCTAATTGACATGTTTATATCGATCTTAACAATTGAAAAGTGTGAGTCTCGCAATAGCTGACATTTGTTGAGCACTTACTGTGTTCTAGGCCCTTGTCAAGTGTCATGTATATACACACACTTTCTCAACTTTATCCTCTGCACAAAACTAAAAGGTGGATTCAATTATTGCTCTAGTGTTGAAGAAAGAGAAGTTCAGAGAGAACTTGCTCAAGATGATATTACTAGCAAGTGATAGATTAGGTTCTGATCCCTGGCAATGTGACTCCAGAGCCCTTACCATTGACCTCTGTGATCTAAAGGGCTAAGGCATACTGTCTCAGCTAGATTCTGCTGCCCTTAATTGGCTCGCCAAGCCAGATCAAAATAGGAACCTAGCAAATCTGACTCAGAAAATAGCATAAAGTAACAGAAAACCAAGTTGGTTTCACTGATCGTGAGGCCAGGTCAGGGTCCAAGGACAACTCATTAAGAGCCTCACTGGGAGCAGATTTAGGACCATGCCATCTTCAATGATGCAGATAACAACTTCATGAGATTTGAAGGTCCTTGTTCCAGTAGCCTTCATCGATTGCTTTCAATTTCTTATGTAAATAAATTTATAGATACGGAAATGCCAACTCACTGCAGAAAGAAAAGCCTGATTAACGCTTAATGGATGTAACCCTTATTAGCAGTTTATGGTTCCAGTGAGAACTCTGCCTATAATTTAAAGCAGCGGCATAATTATTCCATTTTCCATAAATGGCTACTGTAATAATACCAAGTTTATAGTTTGTCACAGGGGTGGCAGCACAAATACATACGTAGCTGTTGACTTGTAATAAGTCAGATACATTGGTGATATTCTCTAGCATTAGGAATATGGGATACATTTATGAATATGTGGAGACATTTACTTAATGATATGAATTAACACATTAAAAAAGAAGTAAACACAGCAGATAATGAAATACAGCATACAAATAAACAAAAATGTTTTCACACGTGTTGTAACCTTTGCCTTGCTACCTCTATAATTTTCCATTTACACCATGTTTTCAGTTAATGTCAAGGTGAAAAATGTCACTACAATCACACTACGTTCTATCAATGTATAAGAAATCATTTCTGTTATAAAATGAAGGATGATAAACCTAAAAATCAATCAGCATATGCACATCTGGAAATACTCTGGAGTCCTGTTTCTGAAATATTAGTATTAAATACGAAAGAATTGCTTAATTATTTGATGCTGTTGCTTTAAGTAAACTTTTTATTATTTCACTTCAAAGTCTAGAATATTGATAATGAGATGATTCATAGACAGTGATGCCAGTAGCCTTTTACCTTTGTTATATCTTGAAAAGTCACTTGGTTTTATGGACTTTTACAGGCACTCGTTTCCAGTAATTGTGTACCATATTTCAGTGAAATCAGATGTATAATGTCACAGGAGAAAAAGATGCTCCAGCCTAATTTTGCCCTACATCTTCTAGATTGAAGGTCACAATGATGCGTTTTTTACATTAACTTAATACTCTAAGAGAATTACATCTTGAATACATCTAGGATGACAGAAAATGATGTAATGAATCTTCAGTTAGTGGTCCTTATGTTTGCCTCATAACACTGTGTTTTCTTCTATTATATTGCTCTGTAATTGTCTATTTACTGGTCTGTGCCCTACCCCAAATTATAAGCTTCTTGAGCTGGTGATTGTATCTTGCTCCTTTTAATCTTCATGTTCTTCTTTGGGTCCTCAGTGCTGGTACAGTGCTTTGCACATGGTAGACCTGTGCTATACATTTGTGAAATGGAGAAGAAAGGACAAAAGGGAGAGACAGAAGCAGGAATCAGAGGGAGAGAGGAAGGGAGGAATTCTGTTACATCCTCTTGACAAACCAAGGAACTCCATCCTTCAAGTTCTAACAAAGGCAAACATATGAAAGAAATATCAATTTCTAGATGAAGATATTCACACTGATGGTAATGATACCAAGAAAAGGCATCAGCATCAGCAGAATGTTCTGCTGCTATGAAACTTAGAGAAAATTCCTTTGGTTACAATATATTTGGAGTTCCATTCAATTAGGTTAATCAGGCATAAGATCATGCTCATCATTGTTTTTTTAATAATAATTTTAAAACACTCAAGTAGTGTTTATTAAGTGTCTAGTATGAGTCCAATATTATGCTAGCCCCTGAATGAAATGCAAAAGAAGTTGTGCAATCATCCGTTCATTCAGCACTTATTGAGTGTTCAGTCATTTGCCAGATGTGCTGAGCACTTTCCCTGCCCTTGAGATAATTACATTGTTCCTGGGAAGCCAAAGCATGCAAGTACAAAGCAGAACACTATGAGAACACTGAGATACACATCAGCATTTCATAAGAAAGGTGGTAGTAGCCAACATTTAGAAAGTGCTGTGTCAGGCAAGGTGCTAAGCATTTTATCCACTTTATTTAAAGTTCACTATACTTCATACTCATTGTCATTGATAGTCCATTGCACAGCTAAGAAAAGCTCAGCTCAAAGCAGTTAGTTACCTTGCCTGTGTTAGTCCACTCAGGACTATAACAAAATACCATAAATGGAGTAGCTTATGGACAACAGAAATGTATTTCTCACAGGTCTGGAGGCAGGGAAGTCCAAGGTCACATGCCAACAGATTCGGAATCTGGTGAGGGTCCACTTCCTTACAAACAGTCGTCTTCTTACTCCAACTTCACCTGGCAGAAGGAGGAAGGGGCCTCTCTAGGGTCTCCTTTGTAAGGGCATTAATCCCATGCATGAGGGTTCAGGCTCTACCTCTGTGATCTAATTACCTTCTAAAGTCTCCACCTCCTAATACCATCACTTTGTGGTGAATTTTAACATACAAATCTGGGGGAGACATAAACATTCCAAACATAGCATTGCCCAAGTCAACAGGTAACAACTTGAGCCAATAGTCTTTCCAGTTCTGAAGTTTATGTACTTAAACAGTATGAGCTACAACTTGGGATCACCTGCCTAAATTTTTGGATGTATATAATACATCCTAAGGAATAGAGAGAGAGTCTGTATTGACTAAAATTAGAAGAAAGGTTTCATGGAAGAGATAATACTTGAAATACAGGTCTTGAAGCATTGACACAATTTACATAATGTGAACAGATGGAAGAAAACAGTGATAATTTCAAGGTGGAGGCAGGGAACAGTAAGTCCCTAAATGTCAATGGAAACTTATGTAAAATGATGAGTTCTATCTAGAAGCAGATAATTGAGTGGGGCCAAAGCTTTCAGTTGTTAAACCTACCAAGATGAATGGACGTGCTCAGGATGGCAACCTCGAGCTCCTGAACCACCATATCAACCCCTGAGCCTTGGCAACCTCGAGCTCCTGAACCACCATATCAACCCCCGAGCCTTGGCAACCTCGAGCTCCTGAACCACCACCATATCAATCCCCTAGCCTCACTGTCGCCCCATCCTTTATGATGCCAAGTTCTGTTCCTTTAACCTTTGAATTCGTTTTTCCTTTCCCTCCTCTACCACCCAAACCTTTAGTTCAAGGCTTCACAATTTCTTCCTGGCATTAGTGCTCCAGTATTAACCTGCTTTGTGACTCCATGCAAGTTACTAAATCTCTCTAATCCTCAGTCTTCCTCCTAGCGAATGGGGCATGATAATAAAACCTTTCTCGCAGGCTAGTGTGTGCATTAAGTGAGACAATGCATGTAAAGTCCATACCTCAGTGCCTGGAAAATAGTATGAAATGATAGGAGAAGAAAAACTTTTTTTCCTCTACCCTCTTAGGTTCAGTTACTGGTGGCTGGCAAATTAAACTGATGAAAGACATATTAACAAGAGGGGAAAAAAATATTTAGTTCCATACATATTTATGTTCTTAGAGCCTTTCCTGTGTCTGCTATTCCTTCAGTTGCAGCAAAATAAGTGCTCGAAATGATCCTTATGCCAAAATGACATATTTTGGGGGTAGAATATTTTAGTCCCCTTCAAACTCAATAAATATTAGCTTTGCCATATTTTTATCTTGTCTCTTTATGATCTGTCTCACCTATTATCCATCTCTTAAACTCTGGTTCGAGTTATCTTTCCAAAAATACATCTATAATCATTTCAGTCTGCTGCTTTAAAATTTATCAATGATTTTTAATTGCCTCTAAGATCAAACCCAAACTGTTTGGTCTGATATTAGCTTTGTGACCATTTGTCTATTGGTAGATTCACTTAATCCAAAACAAATAAGTAAGCCCCTTTAGGAACTATCCCAGATACACAACAACAATAATGACAACAATAAACTTGGTAATTCAAAAGCTAGTGCTCAAGGTGAAGTTCTGGACTAGAAATTGAGATTTGGACTCATCATCATGTGAACTCAATTTCCAGTTCGGAAATCACTATTATATTGTCATTTCTACTAGAATATTCAGGAATATCAGCATGCGAGTGATCCATGGGCATGGCTGAGATTACTGATGGAGAACACGTAGCATAAGACAAAAAAAGAGTCTAGAATAAAACCTTTGGAACCCCAACATTTAAGGGACAGACAAAGGCAGGAGAGTCCATGAAGGAAACTGATAAGGAACAATTTAGAGAAACTGAATGGGAACCAGATGAAGCTGCCATTAAAGTCAAGGGAGGAGGAAGCAAAAAAGAGAGTGATCAACCCCACAGGTCAATAGATTCTGTAACTAGAAAGCCATCTATGAAGTGTGCCATGGCAGGGGTGGAAACAACTGCAGTCACTTGAAAGAGAATGGTAAGTGAGGAAATGAAAGCAGGGATTATAGGTTATTTTTCTAGGTGCTTCTCAGTGAATTGAAAGACATACATATCCCACCCCCACCCCTGCATCTCCAAAAGTCACAGCCAAAAATTTAGTTTTCTTTAAAGGAATGTCTTTATTTGCTAGTAGCTTTCGACACTGGCTGCTCATTAAAATCACTTCAAGATGCTTTAAGAAAGAGACATCCTAGCCAAATGCCAGAAATTCTGATCTGATGAATTTTTAAGTCTACCCGGCATCTTTACATTTTTCAAAAACTTCAAAAGTGATTCAAATTTGCAGCCGGGTTTGAGGATTCTTGCCATAGGCTGCAGGGAAGGACTCCACCACCAAGCCTCCTGGCCATCTCACCAAGGAAACATGGGGGTTTCTGTTGTATGTATAGAGGAGGAAAAAGATCTTTCCTTCAACCCTTCTAAGTTCTCACCTGGGGCCCCTATAACAAAGAGAGATTCACAAGAGAAAAACAAAGAGATGCTTATTAACATGTATATCTCATATATGTGTGGGAGAAACTCTGGGAATGAGCAAAGATGTGGCTTGGAACGGTGGCTTATGCAGCATCTTCAACAAAGAACAGTAAGTTTGTAGGGAAATGATAAGACAAAGGAAAGTGGTTTTAGGCTTCCAATGGCAGCACATGTGGGCTGGTAAATGTATGAGAAACTAATGGTAGATAAGGACTAGTTAGTAGAGTTTATTACATAGATTCCTCTGGTGTCAACTTCAGGCAGATAAGTTGTCACTGGTGATTAACTCTTGTCCTTCCTGGTAGAGAAGAGAGAAAAGACAACTTTGAAAATTTATGTCCTGCTTTTAGGCAAATAAGGGGAGAGAAAGAAGCTCTTATATCTGCTTTTTCTGGATTTCCTTCAGCTCAAAATAATCCTTATGTCCAAGTGGCATGTTTTGGAGTGATTATTCTGGTTTCCTTCACATGAGAGGAGTTTTCAGTCACAATAATTAATGTGTTTTATGTACCTCTGCTGCACTACGCCCAGGGATTGTTGTATACCATTTCAGTGTATCCTCATAGTCAACCTGTAAGATATGTATTGTAATTATCCCCTCTATCCCAGCTATGGAAACTGAGGTCTGGGAAGATTCATACTTTAGCTGAATTTAGCCAGCTAAACTTAGAGCCAGGATTCACAAGAAGCCAAGCTGTGGACTCCAGCTGACTGTGTGCCTAACTATGCTGTCTCCCACCTTTAAATTATCAATCCCACCACAAAAGCATTATGGCTGGCAATACAGAATAACCAAATAATCAAGCCCTGTGGTTATTCAAACAAAAGAAAATGCCACACATAAAGATTTAAGACTAACTAACAACACAAAACTAACTACATTGTCATTTTTACTAGAATATTCAGGAGTATCCTGTTGTAAATTTCCAAAATTATTCTTGGCTAACATCATTTACTTGGCTAACTATATACTCCTGAAATTTAATTAGCAATCCAGCATAATCCAGATAAACCACTAGTCAGAAAATTAATTTTGCTTAAACTAACCCTGAACCTGAATGGCACTTCTATCCTACCTTCTTAAGTGACCCCAAACTGAATGGACACAATGACATAAACCTAAATAATGATTTACTAGAGCAATTACCAACAGTTTAACATCTTCTCATAAATTAGCTGCATAATAAAGCACCCTAAATTCAAACATAAATGAAAGTTTGTAAATTATTGAAGACAGGTGAGCAGAAGAGTATCACCAGCCGCCCTGAATTGTAATTTATTGTAACCAAAATTCATGTCCTTGGGCATGCACTTGGGAGCATGCATACATACAAATAGTGCCTGTCCTCAAGGAGTAGACATAAATATGTTAGCATATATGTGCATGTATTAGTTCATTTTCACATTGCTATAAAGATATACTCAAGACTGGGCAATTTATAGAGAAAAAAAGGTTTATTTGACTCACAGTTCCACATGGCTGGGGAGGCATCAGGAAACTTGCAATCATGGTAGAAGGTGAAGAGGAAGCAAGGACCTTAAGTGCAAGCAGGGGAAATTCCAGACTCTTATAAAACCGTCAGATCTCATGAGAACTCACTCACTACCACCAGAACAGCATGAGGGAAACCCACCCCCATGATCCAATCGCCTCCCTCCCTCCACAAGTGCAGATTACAATTCGAGATGCAGTTTGGGTGGGGACTCAGAGCCAATTCGTATCAGTGCATGTGTGCAACAAATGCTCACATGCTCCTTAACATTGAAGAGCTTAGATCAATCACCACACCTGTGGTTGCACCAATAGCCACGGCATTATAGGAAGGAATAAACAATGGATACTTTTTTAATTTGTAAGTGACAGGATGAAGAATATTGTGGATTTCCCCCACCAGACTGTAACAATATTAAGGTAAATCAAATTTTGCACCTCATTTGTTTAACAATATTGTTTTTCAGTTGCTATAGGGTTTTTTTTTTAGCCTTTCAGAATACAAGGCTGCACAAATTTCCTAGCACTTATTTTTGAAAAGAGAAAAAAATTGTTAGCTCTTGAACACTTAATTATAATTGGCTACGCTTCTTTTCTTTTATTAAGTGATAATTTATGAAAGACTACTTCAAGATCGTCTAAAACACTGCCTTTGGAAAGACTGAAGCAAGGGAATATGTAATCACAATGTAATGTAATCAGAATATTTAATTAACATGTCATCATCAAAGAAGAAAATAGCCTCCTAGCATTTGCGCCCAAAAGTCAACAACAGGGCCCTATTTAAAAGGCTATATATGCTTTTAAAATATATTTAATGGAGACGACATGTCCGTTTATAAAGTGTTTGCTCAATCATTCTTACATTTCAAATAAAAAATAAAACCTGGCCTAGAACTTCGTACTAAAGGGCTACTGCCTCTGGTCTTCAAATCAATTCACACACCCCTCTACCTCCCCAGCTCCCAACAGCTTCACATTACTCTCCAGCTCAATACTTCTCCATTCACATCCTCCTCCATCTACTCCATACATTTCTTCTTTCAGCTGAGTCTTGGACTCTTATTTAGGGCTGTCCCCCAAAATCAAGGCTTTGTTATTTCTAATTTCTGATTAATTTTTCCTTTTTCAGGATCCATAAGAACATATAGAAATACAATCACAGAAAGCCACTGGGGAAATGGGGAGAACATTATTCTACACACAAAATCAACAGCAAAACCCAGGTTAAGAGATTAATTTGAAAATTAGCCTGGCATGATACTGCATGCCCGTAATCCAAGCTACTCAGAAGCCTGAGACACGAGAATCACTTGAACCTCAGAGGCAGAGGTTGCAGTGAGCTGAGATCACACCACTGCACTTCAACCTGGGTAACAGAGTGAGCCCCTGTCTCAAGAAGAAGAAAAAGGAGATGAATTTGATTAAGAATCATGAAGATAATATTAAGAATTCTAATAGAAAACATAGCTCAGAATTAAGTGCCTTTTATACATACTCCTATTCATGGACATGAAGTGCTTTAAAATTTATTACTGTTTTTAAAAGCTGCAATATACTTTTTGTGTATATCTCCTTGGATACATGTTTGAGTTTCATTAAAGCAGGTACCTAGCAGAAGTGCTAGGTTGTAGGGTTCACAAATATCCCAATCAATTGCATGCTACTAAATGGCTCTCCAAAGTGGTTACAGCAACACTCCCACCAGCAGATAATAAGAGGTTTTTTTTTTCCTTTCTGCCTGACAACTCAGTATAATCTGGCATTTTAATTTTCACCAAATTAGTAAGAAAAGGTGGTACTCTGTTCTTCAGCTTTATTTCTCTGATTATTAATAAAGTTAAATTTCCTTTTACATGTGTTGACCAATTTGATTTTCTCTTCTCAAAGTTGTCCAGTTTTATTTGCCTAGTTTTCTAGAAGTTTCTTTGTATCTTTCTTATAGATTTCTAGAATTTCTTTGTATCTTCTTTATATTAAAGATACTAATCCTATGCCAGTTAAATATGTTAAATTTTTTTCTTTCAATTTTCACATTATTTTAACTACATATGGTATTTATTAGTGTATATATTAGAACTTTAATTTCCATATGGTCAAATTTACGTATCTTATCTATATTATAAATCTTCTTTAGAGTTGTGCTTTTTGTATCTTGCTTAAGACATCCTTTTCTAGTTCCAGATGAATCTATCTTCTGTATTTTAATCCAATAATTTCAAAATTTTGGTTTTTAACTTAAGACATTTAATCCCACGGAACTGATTTGTACATGGTGTGAGGAAGGGACCTAACAATATTTTTTACCATAATGAAAGCCATTTATTTTTTAATGTAGATTGAACAGTCCCTCTGCGCTGCAATCTGTCATATAAGTTCTCACATGCAATGAATCTGCTTCTAGACACTATATTCTGTACTATTCCGCAATTTATTTGTGTCCCAAAACCACATAGTTTTATATTATATATGTGTATTTTTTTATATAAAGCTTTATATCAATTCTTGGTACCTGATCCAACAATTAGCCCGTCTTTGCTTTTGTCTGTTTCTCCTGTTTAATTTTGTTTTTGGAATTGTTGCAGATATTTTTGGACTTTTACTTTTTCATACTAAATTTTTAATCTGTTTCTGAAATTTCAAAAACATAGTGGTGGGATTTTGATTGCAATTGTATTGAATCTAAAGACTGATTTGGGGAAAATTGGTTTTTATGGTTGTTAGTCTTCCCATTCATAAAAATGGTTTATCTCTTGATTACTTTAATTCTACCTCGATGTTCTTCAACAAAATTTTCCATAAGAGTTTATCTTTTTTTTGTTTTGTTTTGATTTTTTAGAGACAGGGTCTCACTATGCTGCCTAGGCCTGTGTCCAACTCTTGGCCTCAAGCAGTCCTTCTGCCTCAGCCTTTCAAAGGTATTGGTATTATGGGGGTGAGTCACCATGCCTGGCCTCATCTTTTAATTTTGTTCCTGGGTACCTCGGAAATTTTATTGCCATTGTAAATGGGATATTTTAGAAATAGAAAACCCATTAATTTGTCTACATTATTCTTTTATGTAGTAACTTTCCTAAAATTTTGTAGTAGTTATAATATTTTGTCAGTTGATTCTCTTGGATTGTATATTTCCATAATCATCTGCAGTCTATCTTTTTCTTTACAATTCTATACATTGAGGTTTTATTTCTCGTCTCATCTTGTTGGTTAGGTTCATGAGAACAAGGTTGAATGATTACAGTGAACATCCATGCCTTATGCAGTGCTTTAATGGGAATGTTTTTAAATTTTATCATCAAGTATAAGGTTTAATATAACTTTTGTTAGATGATTTTCTTTAGTTTAAGGGCTTGACTCTATTCCTACTTTATTAAGAATTTTTTATCATAAATAAGTATTGGTTTTTATACAATGATTTTTCTCCATCTATTGAGATGAACATATGGATTTTGATCTGAATTTACTAATGTAGTGCATGATATTAGAGAGTTTTCTTTCTTGTTTGTTCACTTTTTAAAAAAACTTTAACTTCCATGGTATGTGCACAGGATGTGCAGGTTTGTTACATAGGTAAACGTGTGCCATGGTGGTTTGCTACACCTAGCAATCCATCACCTAGGTATTAAGCCCAGCATGCATTAGCTATTTTTCCGAATGCTCTCCCCACCACCCCCCTGACATCACCCGACAGGCCCCAGTGTGTGTTGTTGCCCTCCATGTGTCTATGTCTTCTCATTGTTCAGCTCCCACTTATAAGTGAGAACATGCAGTATTTGGTTTTCTGTTCCTGTGTTAGTTTGCTGAGTATAACGGCTTCCAGCTCCATCCATGTCCCTACAAAGGACATGACCTTGTTCCTTTTTATGGCTGCAAAAATCCTTGCATTCCTCAAATATACACTAGTTGGCCCTAATAGATTTTGCTACATACCCTTATATTCAGTTTGTTAATATCTTAATTAGGAATTTTACATCGTTTCAAAATGAAATTGTCTATGATTTCCTTTTCTTGTATTTTCTTTATCTAGTTTGATTATCAAGATTATACTAGCATGGAATTACTTTTGTGAGGGAGACCTCTTCTAAAGTTTCCATAAACCTCTTGTAAAACTACCTGGACCTGTTGTCTGATCACTGAATTAGGAAAGAACAGGGTAGACTTTTGATTATCAATGCATGTCTTTATTAATTACTGTTCTACTGGCATCTTCTATTTCTCCTTGAATACACTGCACTAATCCCTAGTTTTCTGGAAAATAACATATTTTATCTAGTGCTCTAAATTTTATAGAGTTGTTTATAGTATACTCTGATGCTTTAAAAATATCTATATTTTTGGGTTAGTTGCTTTTATCTTTATTATTTTGTCTTACTTATCTTTCATTATTTCATGCTCTTATTTAATGACCATCTTCCTCTTATAACTCTATTTTAAACATGTTTACCTTCAAGTCTCTTTCACATCTCTCTGTTATTTCTTTTTCTAGAATTTTTTATTGTGGAAAATATTAGAGAGGATAATATTATGAATCCCTATGCACCTGTCCCAGATTCAAAAGTAATAAATTCTGCTCCAATCTGTATTCCTTTGTTACCCCTACCTACTTCCTCTTACCCCTTGATTGTTTTGAAGTAAATCTCAGACATTGTGTCATTGCATCTATGCATATTTCCATACATATCTCTAAAAGATAAGGACTCTTTCTAAAATATAACCTCAGTAACATTGCCATCCCTGAAGGTATTTTTTAAATTATTTAATGTTAGCAGGTCGACTCAGTGTCCAATTTTCTTTGCTCTTTCATAATTTTTTATGATTTTATTTTCCAGTTATATTTTTATTAAATCCATACAATGAAACTATTAATATCTCTTCTTTCTTCTAATCTAGAGATTTCCTCCAACTTTTGAATTGTGATTTGTTGTTTGAAGAAACTAAGTAGGCTGTCCTATAAAGCATTTCACAGACTAGACTTTTCTAAGTGCATCTGGATATTATTTTAAATATCCTTTATACCCAATATTTTCTGCAAATTTATGGTTAGATATAGAAGCCCAATCAAATGAAGGTTTAATATTTTATTTAGCAAAATACTTCAAAATATTATGCACAATGAAAAATTCATAATGTCTGATTGAATTTCTGTTTGTGGTGTTAGCAGCCAATGATGATAAATTTCCTAGGTCCACTGAAGTTGGGATTAGTGTTAGGGTTCGGGTTAGGGGTTGCAAAGTGATCATTCTTAATTATTTCCTTTGAGTTCATAAGCTTGACTACAGTACACCTAAAAAGAGAATTCTCTTTGCCAATTATCTGCTTACCCCAGGTATAGTTCAAACAGAAAAATAACACAAAAATGTTAAAATGTTTGATTTTTTCCCTTTATTTATCAGTTTCCAAAATAAGTTGGTGCCCCAACAGCTTCCAAAAGTGACAAATGAAGTGCTTGTTTTTTAGTATCTTTATGAACTCATGCATTTTAACTTATTTGATATGTTATTATTTTTATTGGTCCTCAAATTATCCTATATCTGGCCAGTGGTAACTTTTTCAATTTGATCTTCAGGCTCTTTGACATGTTACTTGGCGTCTTTGCCAGCTTCCTTGCTTTCTTATGTGACTAAATATTCTAGGCTCTTATAAACTTCCTGCTGCAATCTTAGACTCAGCCATTTCTCCATGGATTTGTGGTTTCTTTTACCGATAAATGGCATTTAGAAACCACAACGTCAGCCAAGGGATACTCGTTGCTCTTCGGCACTTAGTTGTTCTTATTTTTTCTGGACGTTTTCAGTGAACATAGATAGAAAATAATCTTTGCGGGGAGGGAGAGCATCAGGATAATAGCTAATGCGTGTGGGGCTTAATGCCTGGGTGATGGGTTGATAGGTGCAGCAAACCACCATGGCACACATTTACCTATGTAACAAACCTGCACATCCTGCACATGTATCCCGGAACTTAAAATTAAGTTAAATTAAATTTACAAAAGAAAATAATATTTTAAATAAAATACATCTTTTTTTTAACTGATACTTCTCATTTAAACCCATAATTACAGAATTTCTGCTTGGCCTCATTGATCTCACTTCTGCATCTTTTTTCCCCCACACAGAAAACCTTAGTTCTCAAGGACACCAATGTAAACATTCATTTTTCTTTATCCTTCAATACACACAACCATTTTGAAAAAAATATTTCCACTAAAATTATATTTTACTTATTTTATTCTTATAGCATATTCCTCAAAATGTAGGCAAATTACTTTTTAAAAAATAACTTGCAATAATTCCTCTCTGTGTAGTTATTGCTCTATTATTCCTGATCATTTAGACAATACCCTATGTATTGCCTATGGACTATCTTGCTTTGTACTGAACCTTGTATGTATTAAAATTTCTATATGTAAGGTCATTTCTGTCTTAAGGGAAACTCAACAGTAGAGCTCTACGTTGCATGATATATTTACCAGTGCTTCTGCCAAGCCCCTGGAGGTTTCACTACTTAGGAACCACTTTTACATAAATTTGTGGCTCTGTGTTTCATCACCTTTTAGATAAGTTTAGGGTTACAATTCTCAAGATACTTTTGTTTCCTCCCACAATAAAGAATGAACCATTCTCTCCCAGGCTTACAGTTAAGCAAAGACATTTTTGATCCTATTAATAGAAAGGGCAGTGATTTCACAGCTTCTTCCAATAGGCTGGAAACCTGGTACCATGTTGTGTGTATGCCTGGGGCATGTTCTCTAACCCATGGTTCTTAAGGTGGATTTCCATCCTGGAACCCCAAAGCATCCCTACTGCTTTGTATACACTCTGCATTTGGGAACCTAGAGTTTTCCATTCTTGTCATAAACCTGGTTATGTATTTCTTAATATTTAAAAATATTATAGCTGGCATTTCTATGTATTTTAAGTAGTAGTGGAGCTCCGTGCACCCATGAAGGTCACAGCTATGACCAGAAGTCTCAAAAAGTAAACTTCCACAGATAGGTTCACACAGTTCAGGAAATCCAGGTAACATCTGGAAGCTTTCTTCATCCAGATATTTTGGTATTTGCATACATCTGAATATTTGCCGCAATTTTTCACCTAGAAACTGGAGTTCATGTAGATGTATATCCGGTTTAATTTTCGGTCATTATTTCAAATGATTTTTAAACATTTAATGTACGTTCTGTAATATTTTTACCTTTAACATGATAGTTAAATTCTCAGAGACTCAATGAGAATGCCTTATTGCATTCTAGGTAATGTGACTCCACCTAATGCATAATATACCCTTTAAAACCTACTAGAAGCTACAGACCTGAAAGCTTTTTCTCTAGGTGTGCATCAAGCACTTCTTAGGGGCACTGTCTGGCCGGATCATTATTTAGTAAATTGTTCTGAAGGAGACTTTGAGTCTCTTCAAGTGCCTTTTCATTTAAGCTACCAGATTCCTCAAATTTAACCCCCATCCCATTTTTAAAGTTCAATTTTTTAAAAGAGAAAGAATTGTGTTTGTTTCAACATTGTCTTATATGTCTTGTTTAAAGACATATGTTATAACTTAACATGATTTAAAGAAGATATTTTAAAATTAAATTTATCACTTGGCAATTTGATTTGTAGGCTAAGGAGAGCAAAGTTTTACAAATGAAATACTTTTAAATAATCATAATTAATTAACTATGCAAACATATCAAATAAATTTGGATACATAGTTAGGTGACTAATTACAGTTCAGAAAGGTTAGAAATTGTAATACTGTTTTTTAGCTTGGTTAATATAATATTATAATTGGGGTTGCTTTGATCATTGGTAATGCCAGAGACAATAATTTTTCAAGCTTGGATGATTTTGAAATCATACGGTTATGAGTACTAGCAGCTTAATATAAAATGTGGTGCTGTCCACAAAGTTAAAAGAAATTATTTTTGTCATAATAAGCTATATTAATTTAATTATTTGTGTATATGGTTATATTTTTTATTTGAAAATGAAAGCAGAGTGATAGTTGATAAATGTAGTTCCTGAAAGAGAAAAAGGAGCTCTTTGATATTTGAAATAATTCTATAGGAAAAAAACTTCTGCCTCCATAGATTGTATTATTTCATATAGCAGATTTTTTAAGCCTCCCTTAATTCATGCTTTCATTCTGTAAGCCTTCATATGGGGCTCAACAATGTGTTAGGGGCTACCACTTCCTGCGTTAACTTTCACACACTGATATGGTTTGGCTGTGTCTCCACCCAAATCTCATCTTGAATTGTAGCCCCCACAATCCCCATCTGTCGTGGGAGAGACCCAGTAGGAGGTAATTTAATCATGGGGGCGGGTTTTCTCATGTTGTTCTCATGATAGTGAATAAGTTTCATGAGATCTGATGGTTTTATAAAGGGCAGTTCCCCTGCATGCACTCCCTTGCCTGCTGCCATGTAAGATGTGCCTTTGCTCCTCCTTCACCTTCCACCATGATTGTGAGGCCTCCCCATCCATGTGGAACTGTGAGTCCATTAAATCTCTTATTGTTTATAAATTACCCAGTTTCAGGTATTTCTTCATAGCAGTATGAAAATGGACTAATCCACATGCCCTCCCCGATCTACTGCGAGGGCTTCCTACTTTGCCTTCCAGCTCCCAGGTTCACTCCCTTCAGTCTATCCTCCACCCTGACACCCAGGTCACCCTCTGATACAGCAGTCTGGGGCCAGTACCCCTGTGTTTCATGCTCTTTCAGGGCTTATCATCCCCTACAGTGGAAGCCCCAAGGCAGGGGGGGTGCAGGAGAGGGCTCCATGAGCCATTTCCAGCCACTAGATGTGTTTCTCGGGTTCATATTGAGATTTTAGTCTTATTTTTGTTTTAATTTGAGTTTGTTTCCAAATTAAAGAGAGTTTCATGTAAAATTCTAGAAATGTGACTTTCCTTTAAAAATTGAAAAGATGTAATAAGGTTGGCCCACATTCCTTCCAGAGCCAAGCAGAGGCTGCCCCCTTTAGATGAAGTCACCACTCTGGTCAGTTGTGGGGCTTCAGGCACCTCTGGCCCTCTTGACTCATTAACAGAGGCTGCCTGGACTCTGGATCTGTGGTCCCTGAATACAGGCTCAGATCCAAATTTATTATTTTTCCTAGAAGGCTGTGGTGGGTTGAATCATGACCCCCCAAAAGATATGCCTATGAGGAACCTCAGAATGTGACTTTATTTGGAATAAGAGTTTTTGTAGCTATAATTAAAGGAAGTATCTTGAAGAAAGAGCTTCCTGCATTAGGGCAGGACTCCAATATGATGGCAAGTGTCCTTATCAGACACAGAAAAGGAAATTCAGAGACACACAGAGAAAAGCAATGCATGTGAAGACAGAGCATGGAGGCAGAGACTGGAATAAGGAGGAAGCCCCAAGCCAATGAACGCCAGGGGTTGCCAGCAGCCATCAGGGGTTACCAGACAGGAACAGAGGGAATTCTCACTCAGAGTCTCCGAAGGGAACCAGCCCTGCACATACCTCGATTTTGGACTTCTGACCTCCAGAACTGTGAGAGAATAAAATCTGTTGTTTTCAGCTCCAACTTTGGGAACTTTGTGATGGCAGCATGAGGAAACAAATAGGACCCTGGGTGACCTGGCCCGGGCTACCATTCCCGTCTCCTCTTGCCTGCTCTGTCTTCACCATTGACCTCTGTTTCCATGCTGGCAGTTCCCTCACACCCATCTGGTTTTGTGACTCTGTTTTTGTAACTGCTTCTCCCCCTGCCTGGAAGACTTTTCACATCTCTTTCTTCCCGGTGAAATTCCAAATTGTTAAGACTCCTATCCTCCTTATCCCCAGGCTGAGCACACTGCTGCCCTAGGGGCATTGCTGTTCATTGAGCTACCACACAGCTTTTTAGCACTTTCCACACGAGGCTGAGGAAGAAACCTTGCAAAGGAGGTCATATTTGACCCAGTTCTTGAAGGGGGTTACGTTTATGAGACATAGGATTGTTAATTTTATGTGTCAACTTGGCTAAGCTACACTGCCCAGTTCTTTGGTCAACCCACAGTCTGGATGCCGCCATGAAGGTATTTTTAGATGTGACTGAAATTTAAGTCAGCCAATTTTGAGTAAAGTATATTACCCTTTGATATGGTTTGGCTGTGTCCCCACCCAAATCTCAACTCGAATTGTGTCTCCCAGAATTTCTGCATGTTGTGGAAGGTACCCAGAGGGAGGTAATTGAATCATGGGGGCCAGTCTTTTCCATGCTATTCTCATGATAGTGAATAGGTGTCACGAGATCTGATGGGTTTATCAGGGGTTTCTGTTTTTGCTTCTCTCTCATTTTCTCTTGCCACTGCCATGTAAGAAGTGCCTTTTGCCTTCCGCCATGATTCTGAAGCCTCCCCAGACATGTGGAACTGTAAGTCCAATTAAATCTCTTTTTCTTCCCCATCTCAGGTATGTCTTCATCAGCAGCATGAAAACAGACTAATACAGTACATTGGTACCAATAGAGTGGGGCGTTGCTGAAAAAATACCCAAAAATGTGGAAGCAACTTTGGAACTGGGTAACAGGTGGAGGCTGGAACTCTTCGGAGGGCTCAGAAGAAGACAGGAAAATGTGGAAAAGTTTGAAACTCCCTAGAGACTTGTTGAATGGCTTTGCCCAAAATGCTGATAATGATATGGACAATAAAATCCAAGCTGAGGTGGTCTCAGTTGGAGATAAGGAACTTGTTGGAAAGTGGAGTAAAGGTGACTCTTGTTGTTTTAGCAAAGAGATTTGGCAGCATTTTTCCCCTGCCCTAGAGATTTGTGGAATTTTGAAGTTGAGAAAAATGATTTAGGGTAACTGGCAGAAGAAATGTCTAAGCAGCAAAACATTCAAGAGGTGACTTGGGTGCTGTTAAAGGCTTTCAGTTTTATAAGGCAAGCAGAGCATAAAAGTTTGGAAAATCTGCAACCTGACTATGTGATAGAAAAGAAAAACCCATTTTCTGGGGAGAAATTCAAGCCAGCTGCAGAAATTTGCATAAGTAGCGAGGAGCCCACTGTTAATCGTCAAGACCATGGAGAAAATGTCTCCAGGCCATGTCAGAGACCTTCACGTCAGTCCCTCCCACCACATGCCTGGAGGCCCAGAAGGAAAATGTTGTTTCATGAGCCAGGCCCAGGGTCCCTGTGCTGTCTGCAGCCTAGAGACTTGGAGCCCCATGTCCCAGCCATCCCAGCCTTGGCTGAAAGGGGCCAACCTACAGCTTGGGCTGTGGCTTCAGAGGGTGGAAGCTGCCAAGGTTTGGCAGCTTCCACATGGTGTTGAGCCTGCAAGTGCACAAAAGTCAAGAACTGAGGTTTGAGAGCCTCTGCCTAAATTTCGGAAGATGTGTGGAAATGCCAGGATGCCCAGGCAAAATTTGCTGCAGGGGCGGGGCCCTCATGGACAACCTCTACTAGGGCAGTTTGGAAGGGAAATGTGGGGCTGGAGCCCCCACACAGAGTCCCTACTGGGGCAGTGCCTAGTGGAGCTGTGAGAAAAGGGACACTCTCCTCCAGACCCCACAATGGTAGATCCACCTACAGCTTGCACCGTACACCTGAAAAAGCCACAGACACTCAATGCCAGCCTGTGAAAGCAGCCAGCAGGGAGGCTGTACCCTGCAAAGCCACAGAGGCAGAGCTGCCCAAGACCACGGGAACCCACATCTTGTATCAGGGTGACGTGGATGTGAGACCTGGAGGCAAAGGAGATAATTTTGGAGCTGTAAAATTTGACTGCCCCTCTGGATTTCAGATTGCATGGGCCTTGTAACCCCTTTGTTTTGGCCAATTATGTTTCCCATTTGGAATAACTATCTTTACTCAATACCTGTACCCTCATTGCATCTAGGAAGTAACTAGCTTGCTTTTGATTTATAGGCTTATAGGCAGAAGGGACTTGCCTTGTCTCAGATGAGACTTTGGACTGTGGACTTTGGGGTTAATGCTGAAATGAGTTAAGAGTTTAGGGGACTGTTGAGAAGGTATGATTGGTTTTCAAATGCGAGGACATGAAATTTGGAGGGACCAGTGGTGGAATGATATGGTTTGGCTGTGTCCCCACCCAAATCTCAACTTGAATTGTATCTCCCAGAATTTCCAAGTGTTGTGGGAGGGACCCAGGGGGAGGCAATTGAATCATAGAGGCCAGTCTTTCCAGTGTTATTCTCATGATAATGAATAAGTCTCACAAGGTCTGATGGGTTTATCAGGGACTTCCACTTTGGCTTCTCTCCCATTTTCTCTTGCTGCCACCATGTAAGAAGTGCCTTTCACCTCCCACCATGATTCTGAGGCCTCCTCAGCCATGTAGAATTGTAAGTCCAATTAAATTCTCTTTTTCTTCCCAGTCTCAGATATGACTTTATCAGCAGCATGAAAACAGACTTATACAACCTCCATAATGTGAGTGATTCTCACAATCAGGTGAAGGCCTTAAGAACAAAGACTGAGTTCTCTCCAAGAATATGGATTCTCCTCAAAACTGCAATGCAAAAACCCTGTCCATGCTTGCATCCTGCTGCCCAGCAGAATTCAGATTCAAGATGATGATATCAACCCACCTGACTTTCTAGCCTGCTGGCCTACCCTGCAAATTTCAAACTTGCCAGATTTCACACAGTCATGTGTGGCAATTATTTATGATAAGCAAACAAATGTGTGTGTGTTTGTGTGTGTGTTTGTGTGTGTCCTATTAGTTCTGTTTCACTGGAGAACTATAATACATGGCAAGAAAAAGAAAGAAGAGCATTTCAGAAAGAAGGAACAAAATACAAAATACAGACCTCCTGGCTGGCTCTGGAATAGCTGGCTTGTAGGATGTGCTGGGACACAGAAAAACAAAGCTGGAGCGGGAGCTCAGAACCAGTCTCTCATGGGAGTCATTTCAGACATATAAGCGGAGTTACAGCATGATTCATTCTGTGCTTTGGAGTAACTACTCCAGTGGCAGAGTTGGGGTCAAGGTAAAATAACTGCAGGCAGATATGTCAATTAGGGGTAATTGAAAAAAATGCAAGTCAAATGTAGTAAGGGCATATAGCGGGGCACCTGGAATGGATGGGAGGGGATCTGTTGAGATACAGGACAGAATCAAGCAACATGATATGGTGGCTGGCTTGCTGCACTGTGGATGCTGAGCCTATGCCTCATGCATCTGGCACCCAAGGGCCTAGTGTGCCTGGAACATGGCACTCAATGATGTTTGTTAAATTAAGGAATAAATGGAAGACTACAAAGGAGGAGAAAGAGAAAGGATCAAAGATAATCTTCATGCTTCTACATCAGAATGGCCATTTTTTTCCTTTCTATAGCTTTTTAACGTTCTACATCTCCTTGCCCATCCATAAATTTGGATAGTCTAGAAAGAATCTGGAACCAGGTGAGTTTAGCTGTACAGAAAACTTATTCTCCCTTGGCCTGATTTCCAATTTTGTAGTGCATCCAATCTCATCCTTTTTTCTTTCCTCACTTCTCCTTTGTATCATTTCGAGCCAGGAATGTATGAGATATGATCCATGAATGCAAGGACAGGTTGTCTCAGCAAGGAGATCGAGTTTAATGAGGGGGGAAAGAAATCAAGGTTAGTCAGAAAAATAAAATATTAAGTTTTCAAACTTAGGGAAAAAGACCTACCTATACAGCGTGGAGAGGCAGAAAAATAGACAGCAAGAGCAATGTTGAGTATTTTGCAATCACATGATTGCAAGAACGAAGCCATAGTTTGACCAAATGGTTTTGCCAAAAGCCAGATTGTATATTGTACCACCTCAATCACCTTGTCAAGAAATCTTCTCACTTTTGGCAATAATATCATACCAAGACAAAAAGCCCTTGCAAATTAAGTAAGTACTAATTATAGGCAGAGTAGTATGGTAGCTTATGGCCAAGCTAGCTCCATCTAGGGAAACATGCAGGAAGGTATCTGACAGAATGTCATACCACAAATACAGTATGAGGTAAGAGGTAAAATTGAAGTTAAGTATAAAACGCTGAAGTGCCAAGTACAGATTGGTTTATTCACAACCAGTACCAATTAATCAAATGATGGGTAGCCATGATGCCTCACCTATTGGGTCCAGTGGCCTTACCTCCTCAAAGAGAGTTTGAACTAAAAAATGAAAGAGGTACAGTTAGGGACTGCGGCACCTGGAGCTTCAAATGGCACAAATTGGCTGGAAGGTTGAGACCACATAAAGAGGAATGTAGAACTAGACATCAAAAGCAACTATATGATGATTTTCAACATACGTTCATTGCTCTTGTTGAAGATCCATCTTCTAAAAAGCACTCTATAAACAGAATAGAATGGGAGAATATATTTGCAAACTATGCCTCTGACAAAGTTCTAATATTTGGCAAGTACAAGGAACTTAAATTTACAAGCAAAAAACAAACAATCCCATTAAAAATGGGCAAAGTACATGAACAGACACTTCTCAAAGGAAGACATACACACGGCCAACAAGCATATGAAAAAATGCTGAACATCACTAATCATTAGAGAAATACAAATTAAACCAGAGGTCCCCCTGTCCAGGCTACAGGCCAGTACCCATCCATAGCCTGTAAGGAAGCAGGCCACGCAGCAGGAGGTGAGCGAGCATTACCACCTGAACTCCACCTCCTATCAGCTGAGTGGCAGCAGTAGATCCTCATGTGAGCATGAACCCTATTGTGAACTGTGTGTGTGAGGGGTCTAGGTTGCATGCTCCCTATGAGAATCTAATACCTGATGATCTGAAGTGGAACAGCTTCATCCCAAAACCATCCCCTACCTTCAGTCTGTGGAAAAACTGTCTTCCACTATACCAGTTCCTGATGCCAAAAAGGTTGGGGACCACTAAATTACACCACAATGAGATACCATCTCACACCAGTCCAAATGGCTATTATTAAAATGGCAAAAAATAACAGATGCTGGCAATGTGGCAGAGAAAAGGGAATGTTTATATGCTGTTGGTGGAGATATAAATTAGTTCAGCCACTGTGGAAAGCAGTTTGAAGATTTCTCAAAGAACTTAAAACAAAGCTACTATTCAACACAGCAATCCTATTACTGGGTATGTACCCAAAAGAAAATAAATCGTTCTACCAAAAAGACACATGCACTCATATGTTCACTGCTGTGCTACTCACAATAATAAACACATGGAATCAACCTAAATGCCCGTCAACAGTGGACTGGATAATGGTACATATCCAGCATGGATTACTACAAATCCATAAAAAAGAATGAAATCATGCACTTTGCAGCAACATGGATGGCACTGGAGGCCATTATTCTAAGCAAATTAATGCAGGAACAGAAAACCAAATACCACATGTTCTCACTTCAGTGGGAGCTGAACACTGAGTACACATGGACACAAAGAAGGGACCAATACACAACCAAGGCATACTTGAGGGTGGAAGGTGGAAGAGGATGAGGATCAAGAAACTAACTATCAAGTACTAAGCTTATTATCTGAGTGACCAAATAATTCATACAATAAACCCCTATGACATGCAATTTACCCACATAACAAACCTGCACATGTACCCCCAAAACTAAAATAAAAGTTGGAGGAAAAAAGAATCTTCTTCCAATAAATTTTTCTAAATATAGGCTTAAAAATTCCTTTTTGTGTTCAATTCTTCCATTCACTGAAAGAAAACAGTCAATATTAAGTCATACTGAAAGCAAGTTTCTATTTACTTTTAGGATTTGATTTATCTATGGGCATGTGTGGCAGAAAGAAACTTCTTCCATTACCACCTTCTCAATGTGTGCTAACAAACTCTTTATTTTGTTAAACTCTTCCATTTTATGAATAAAAACAATTAATGATGAGCCATTCATTAAAAATAAATATAAATTTAAAAAATAAAAATAAAAAGCACTCTAATGTGGGTTCTGAGCAATTAATTTGTTTCCTCCTGTCGGCCAAAAGAATTGCTAAAAATAGGGCAATGGGAAAAATTAATTTCAGTTTTAAATTATCTACCAGTAATAAGGCATTTCTTGAGGACCACTGTCCTATTAAATTTTATTCTTCCATTGGGAAAATTCACACTTTAAGTATAAACTTTTAAACATTTGACATAAAACGTACTCTCGCTCAAGAGTTACATCCTCAGTGAAGGTGGGCAGAGTAGCACCAGATGACTGATGCTCTCTTTTCTTGGAACTGCAACACAGCTTCATGGCCCCAGTCATTCTGAATAACACTTTTTCTTTATTGGTTCAAAGTTAATCAGCCAGGCCACAATAAAATGCCTCTAGCTCTGGATGCCAATCAAAACAGAAGAATTCATGCAGATAAAGGAAGTTGCCATCCGTAGTTGTCGTCATATATCTGTGCATCTGTCTTAAAAGTAACATGGTCAAGCAGGAAGACTACAGGACTGGGGCATCACACACAATGGGCTTGCAACTCAGCCTGGCCTTCACTAACTAGGTGATCTTTGGAGAGTACTTAGCCTGTTTGCATCTCCACATCCTTCTCATCTATAAAACAGGTTTTATCATATCATCCTAATAGTTCTGCAAGAATTATATATAATAGTATAAAATGCCTGGCACCTGGGTGGCCCTCTAGAAATAGCCATACTCCAGGCTTTTGGAGAGTGGTTACATTTTTCCAATTAGCACTTCCCAGGCAGCATTGCCTAGGACTCGGGCTCCCAGAGCGAGCGCTCAGGATATGCTTTTTGTTAATTCTTTCATCCCTGTCCACTGTAGACTGCAAAGTCATGAAAATAGAAGTGGAGCGAGTGATAAAATGAAATATCCAGTGGATCTGAACACCAGCTCTAGTCTCATTTCTCCACTAAACAGCAATGGGACCTAAGCCTAGTCTCTTATCTTCTTAGTCTCTATTTTCTCCTTTGTAACATGAGAACATTGCTCTACAGGATCCCTGCGATCTCCCTCCGTTTTTGAGGGTCATGATTCTAGGGGAAATTTTCATTCAAAATATGGGACTCTACAAACCATATCTAAAAAAAAATTACTGGGTCTTTTTGTGTGTATGTGTTCTGGGTCATTGGGTGACGGTTATAATGATGGCAGTGGACGGGTTTGCTTTATTCCGTTTTGCCAGTTTCTTGTGAAGTGCTTATGGAAAATTCATAGAAATCTTGTTATGGTACTAAGCAAACATAATTCTTTTATGTGCTTACATTCTTTCTTCTATTTTCCATGTTTTAAATTTCCATATTGCTTTGGTCCAACTTCCCAATGGCCCTTTCACATTAAAATGAATCTTTAAGACTGTAATAATGCAAACATTGACAACTGAGTAGAATAATAAAAAATTGTGCATAAGATGACAAATGAACTGCAAGTCATATCATCCTGGAAGGGAGATATCACTGAACCTGCTGAGTGACGTTGGCATCCTTCAGAACAAATGTGCAGTGCTTTCTCCAGCTGCTATTTTCATATCTGATGGCATTAAAAAAAATACTAAACCTTTGTTGGATGTTCCTGTTCTTTTCTGAACTCTGATCAAATAGTCTCAAAGTTTGGCAAACTGGCTTATAAGGTACTAGGAGGATAAAAAGTAAACTTTCCAGCTTGTCTAAAGGGATGGTGAAAATGGGAATATTTCAATAGCTGTTCATTTGCTTTCTTATTTGTTACCGGAAAATTCATGGCTGTTACAAGAAATATGTATTTGGAGGAGGCTTGTTTTATGTGATTTCTCCTATCCCCTGTCTATTAAATCAAATGGATGTACTTCATCGTGTGAGTGCTGGGAGCCTTCCCCTGCGGCATGCAGTGATGTGGCGCTGGGGGAGGGGCTGAGCACGCAGCCTGAAAGAGCAACAGGAAAAGATGGTTGGAAGTGCGCTCCTCATCACAAATATGTGTCTTCAATATTTAGTTGTTGTGGCAGGAAAACGCCAACAAATACATGAACTGTAAACCATCTGGCTTGAAATATGTTCAAATATGACTGTTCATCTTGAAAAATGAAATCTATGGAATTCTGGCATCCACTTTGACTTTTGAGAGATGAACAGCTTGGATATGCAAAGAAGGGATTTCTAGACTAGCCTTCTTAAACTTTAAATTTTCCTGAACTCAGAAGTTAAATGATTCACTGCCTAGAAAGGAAAACTTTGCTTTCACTTTTACGCTTTCATGAAAACCACTGACTCCTTGAAAATCCCTGGGACTGTATCTGTGTCTTGTGTGTCAAAAAGCAGAGAAGTAAATGTGGTTCTATATGGATTATTAAATGTTTATTAAGTTCTAATATGTGCTAGACGCAATATAAAACACTTAAAGAGCATGATAATCCTGGCTTTCACCAAATTTCAAAATTGAACATTTAAAACTTTCAGAACTGGGGGCTGAATTGTGCCACTTAATTTGGGTTAAAAAATGATGAATTAGTCAACTCTGTTCTCTTATGAACTGGGATCCTCAGGTAACCTAGCATCAACGCCCTACCAGAAACAGCTATCCCATCAACTTTGAGAAAGGTTTTAGGTGACTTGATAAATGGAGAGAAGACATGCATTGCAAACGTACGTAAGCGATGATGAAGTTGAGGGTAGGAGAATGGGAAGGGAACCAAACAGGCATTCTGGGCTTAGACCAGACCAAAAGCGACTACAAGAAGAGGAATGGAGGCAGGGATGTTTTTCCCCTGCTGCTTGATGTTTTAGGAGCATGAACAAGACTCCAAGAGAACTTAGAGATTGAAACTTACTTTCCTCCTTCTCTTGTTCACACTATTTTCTTTTATAAAAGCCACCTCAATCCACCTTATCTGAAGGATTCTCCCTGGAGGCTCTTACCTAGATCTCTTCATGTATCAGGAGCCCCCAGCTGTGCAATTTCTACCACTTGAGGATAGCCTCACCTTTAAATGATTCTTCAGCCATTGCACATGTACCTGTGGCCTCCCCAGCTGCGTTGTAAGCTTCCAAATAGAGAAGCCAGACCTCTAATACCCGCTGTGCCTAGGATTGTGTGATGCAGGCAGTGGACTCAGAGAGTATTTGTTTGAGACTGTGAGAGTTGGATAAAGGAAAGAATCATGCCACAGATATGGGGGAAAGCTTCAGTGGTTAATGTAAACTAAGTTTGTGACGCAAGCCACTTTTAAATGATATTAAGAGAATACAGTGTTTTCTGAAATAAAAGCCTAATATACTTAATTCAGCAAAGGTAAAATACTAATTTAAATTAATTAAATTTTATTTAAAAATCAGATATATGTTAATGTATGGATTTTTTTCTTTTGTTCTTCTTTTCCTTTAAAAATGAAATTTAACCAACATATAATTTATCTAATATAATTACATAATTATCACAATAAACACTCCTCAAAATAACCATGTAAGGATCTGGGATTATATGTGTTTGCATTTTTTCTTTTGTTGCCATTAATGTTCACCTTAGTACTTAAATGTTTATAAATGCTTTAGGAAAAGGCAAAAACATATTTCATGCTTAGGAGAGAATAATTTTGCAATGCTATTTTTATACGTTATGAATTCTGCTACATCCACAGGGAAACTAGATCACAGGAGGCAGCAACAAAATATACTAGGTGATCAATCTTGCTCTTGAAGATCAAAGTATTTATTTGTTAGGTCAACTGATCAACTGAGGAACTAAAAATAACTAAAATATAATAGAGCAAAACCAGTCAAGGAAAGTAGCATCGTTAGTGTAGAGTTTGCTTTCACATACACAAGCAATTAACCTGCTTTTTGTAAATGTATTTGTTCTGTTTCCCTCCTACTTTTTCCATTATAGTAGGTTTGTTACTGGTGAGATTTACAAGGGAAAAAGCCCACATCATCTTTTGTGGTGAGCTGGAAGAGTCAACGAATATACCCATTTAATTAGAAAGCCAGTAGCCACCTCAGAAACAAGGCAAATTTCACTTCATTTGTTCTGAGAAAATTCTGAGAAATGAAGTGAGCACTACCTATTAGTGATGAAAACAAATAGGTGAAAATAGATCAAATCTGAACATTTATATTGTTTCTGTAGATTTTTGTACAATTCCCTTTCTCTTTAAACACAACCCCATTAACTTGGGAATCATTTCTTAGAAAGTGATTGAGAGTCTTGATTTCAACTGTGATCTGTACAGATTCCTTCCATGAAGTAAAAACTGAGATTGACCTCTGGGCATGATATGCCTCCCAGAATTTTCACCAGGTAAATTAACAAATAATGAGAGCAACCTAATACCTTGTTTATAAAAACTGAGTGCTCGTGTAAAGGAGCCCGCAGGTGGAACTGAGTTGGACTTTTGTGTGTGACAGAAGACACGGTATCATGAGTCTTAGGAAGTCTGATCCCAATATTGCAAAACAATCATTGGTGTCATCAGGTTACTCTTAAAAGTATTAATAAAAATAGAAAAGTTGAAAAAAATTATATTCATAAATTATACAAAACTGTTGAGCTCTGAATGAATTTGAATATAATTTGAAGTCCACATATGATTATTCAATATGAATGAACATCATTGCAAATTTTATAAAAATAAAATCTATGAAGAAAAATGCCCAAGTTAAATCATGAGCTATACTTCCATAATACAATTGTTAACCATCTTTGTATACTGTAAATGAATAATAGCTACACTTTAACATAACATAATGTTCTTTACATATTCAAAATGAGGAATAAAGAAATCACATTTAGAAATAAGGATGGAGCATGTAAAGATTAATATTTAAAACTAAACTTTGTTTTATTTTTACTGTAATACTAGAAATATTCTAAGCAATGAACAAAAAAGTGTGACCATAGTTTTTTTTTTTTTTGAGACGGAGTCTCACTCTGTCGCCCAGGCTGGATTGCAGTAGCGTGATCTCGGCTCACTGCAACCTCTACCTCCCAGGTTCAAGTGATTCTCCTGCCTCAGCCTCCCGAGTAGCTGGGATTACAGGCATGTGCCACCAAGCCCGGCTAATTTTTCGTGTGTGTATTTTTAGTAGAGACGGGGTTTCACCATGTTAGCCAGGATGGTCTCAATCTCCTGACCTCGTGATCTGCCCGCCTCGACCTCCCAAAGTGCTGGGATTACAGGTGTGAGCCACAGCGCCCGGCCAACCCTACATTATTATTCAGCAATATAAGTCTCTCCTTTGTAACACTGTGTAAAGAACACAGAAGGCAAGAACATTTCAACTCTTCCTCACACTCATTGAATCTAAAATAGAAGAGATAGTATAAAATTCTAGATGTATTCTCTCTGAGTTAATTTTTATAACCCAACTGAATAAGACCTCTAAGATATGTAAATCCTAAACACTTCAGAAATAACAAATCATTTTATCATGGAAGATTATTGGCTTAAAGAAATGAATATAAAGACTTTACATCTTTTATATTGCTCACGGTTAAAGAAGCTACTAAAGATATCTTACTAACTGCACTCTAATCTCAGGTCAATGCTGCCAAAAATGCCTATGCTTTCATATATTTCTACAGTGAAAAAATCCCTAAAAAACGATGTCTTTCCAAGAAGTCAATTTACTATATTTTTTATGGGCCAGTCCAAGACTTCTCCAAAAGAAGCATCGTCTTGTTTACGTGTGAGTGTGTTTATGAGTGTGTGTATGTATTAGGCAGATGAGGAGTGAAGGGGGAATGGGAATGACCCTACAAGGTAGGTGTTATTAGTCCCATTAAACTAATGTGGAAAATGAGAATCAAAAGAGGTAACACATCAGAGCTGGGTGACAAGTAGAAAACTCACCTGTTTGTCAAAATACTTAACCAGGATGAATGAGGAGGCAGAAGGATCAAGGGGAGAACACGGGGCAGAGCCTTCTTTGTGGCTTTCACGGGAAGAAAGGGGCAAGTTTGTATAATCAGGGGAGGAGGTTTAAGATTGGATAGTTTGAATAGATTCTGCAGGCCCTCGGCTACAGGTGTGGTTGGTCTCTCGTCCAGTACCTGGCTCTGAGGTGATCAAAGGCAGGAGAAAGGTTGATTCTATGTATGAGAGTTTAATGAAAGAGAGGGTTAGGGGTTTGGACTGTGTTTGGTTTGCATATCAAAGACATGCTCCCAAACCAGTTGTTTTCTATCACTAGGAATGAGCTAACCCTAACTTGAGCAGTTTCTCCCCAAGACTGCAAGATCCTCAGATGTCAATGCACCCCAAAATGCAGAAAATAAAAAACATTATTAATACAATAGAATAACATCCATTTTTCTGTAATTCATTGGCATTATGTAGAAATAGTGTACTTAATCACACATAGCAACATGTATTTGTAATTAAATTCCCATAAGTTAAATGTCCTATTTACAGCACTGCAATTTATATCTGTATATTCAGTATGCTTTGGTGCACAGGTCCATATATTAATATTTCATAAAAGAGACAGTATAAGGTAATGGTTAGAAATGAAGATGTTACAGTCAAAGAGAACTGAATTCAAATCCCAACCACCTATCTACTGCAAGTTATTTCATTTAAGCTTGTTTCCACATTTCTGTAACGGGGCTCATAATATCGACCTGACAGAATCCATGTATGATTTAACTGACAATACTTGAAAAGTCCTTAACCTAATAGTACCTGGGTAAATAAAGATAAATGAATATTCACAATTCTTACTCTTACCAGGTTTTTAACAGGAGAGATTTGATTTTCCAAAATTGATTCTCCTCCTATTTTCATCTTGTCTAAAAAATTTAAAGGAAATATTTGGGCCAAAACCAGCCAGAAAATTGCTTCAGTTAGGACAATTTTGCCTAGCAGAGTAGAATTATGGTCACTATATTGAACAACTATGACTTACACAAAATCAGAGATAGACGAGGCTTCCCGTGCAGCCACTCCTGGGGTGACTGGAGTATGAAAGGATATTTGCACTTGCCTCATGGGTGCACCAAGTGTGATTAATGACACGTATTACATCAGTCCCACAAAAAAGTTCATTTTTTATAGTCACACTTTTAGATTTATATGAGAGTTTTCTATCTTATGTTTTTTAGAATCTCTTTCCACCATCTTCTGAAAGACGGTTTAATTCATGTTCATTTAGCCCACACTCTTTGTCTTCTATAGAGAGCTTTTTTGAAAGAGGGGAAAAGGAATTAAAGAAGTGGAAAAAATATGGCTGGTTGCGGTGGCTCACGCCTGTAATCCCAGCACTTTGGGAGGTCAAGGCAGGTGGATCACCTGAGGTCAGGAGTTCCAGACCAGCCTGGCCAACATGGCAAAACCCCATCACTACTAAAAATGCAAAAATTAGCCGGGCGTGATGGTGCACACCTGTAATCCCAACTACCCAGGAGGCTGAGGCAGAAGAATCCGTTAAACCCAGGGGGCAGAGGTTGCAGTGAGCCCAGATCGTACCACTTCACTCCAGCCTGGGTAAAACAGCAAGATTCTGTCTCAAAAAAAAAAAAAAAAAGTGGAAAAAATAACAAATAGAGAAAGAGCTTTGCTATATGCAGCCTTCAGCACTTAGGTTATTTCTCAGATTTACATAAAGACTTACTATCATCTTGACTGCAATCATGTAGAAAATGAACGGGTATAAAGTACATGAGGACAATTTAATAAAACCAGCTTTCTTTTCTTATAAAATCTCTGACGAAAGGAATCATTAGACAGAGACTTGCCTTGTATTTACCCAGGTCATGAGGCATGTCAGTGTGGTGATGTGCCTTTGGCAAGAAGTCCTTAATTAGAAATTCCTCGAGAGCTGCTCCCTGCAGGTGCTTCCTATGACACAAAGACAAAATAATTTACTAGGGAAGCCCTTACTAACGACCCAACATCCAGACACAGGTGAGGGAGAAGAAATTTCCTGACAGCCGAAGAGCAACAAGTATCATGATGGGGTGCTGGATTTTGAATGAGGGTCTCTCCACCATATTAGTAGTAAGTATCATTTTTGTTATTCAACTTTAAATATATAGATTGAATAGTCTTTGATTTTTAGGAAAACTTGTATAGGAACGCTAAATAGCTTGAAGTATTACTCTAGTTAAAAGACTAAAACTTGTTAGAAAACATTCAGTAGATGTATTTAATTTCCCCTTATAGAATCATGCAAAGTTGTTTTCCGATTGAGCTCATTTTTAATTATTTTTAAAGTCAAGTAGTTTGTTTTTGCATAATGTATGAGTGTTTCTCTAAATCAAATGAAGTCTTTGAATTAGACTATGAAATTGGAACTTTTCTAGAGAACTCTCGGAGTTGTTTTTAAAGATTTCTTCCTTCTTGACATCATTGTCAAGCAACGTTGATTAAGAAGGTTTTGTAGTTTCATTAAATCACTTAAAGTTGACTCATATGTGTTTAAAATCTTTTTAATAAAGGTAATAATGTATTACCATCATAATCCTATTAAAAACTAATCTATGAGAAATAAATATGTGGAGTAATTCTGATTAATATTGAGAAGCTCTTCATTCCACTTTAAAAGAAGAACCCCAAGTGATTTTGAATAGAGAAAAAGCTTGAAGGTAGTAATCATTGGTTCTCTTTCCTTTCTACTCTAGCTCTCATGGCTGGGAATAAATTTTTATCTGTTTATTGACACGTTCTACTGGTATGAAGAGGAGGAGTCTTTCCATTACACACGAGTTATTTTGGGTGTAAGTACAGTTTATGATTAAACATTATTTTTTCAGAAAACAAAATGCATTTTATTTTCCCTGGATCCTTGTTTTCCCTGAATCTCTTTTTTATGTCTTTACATGTGGACAGTCAACACTGGCTTGGGCACGAGCATCCGCACTGTGCCTGAATTTTAACTGCATGCTAATTCTAATACCTGTCAGTCGAAACCTTATTTCATTCATAAGAGGAACAAGTATTGTAAGTACTAAAATATCTGAAATAATCTCAACTGTTACGACTTCCTCATATAAGTGCCATTGAAAAAAAATGTACTTTATTATGAAATTCTCAGTAATTCTGTTTAAACTTGGGTTTCTTTGTTAGAGATAACAGAAAGGCTAAGACAGAAAAACGGTAATCAGTACATCTATCTGATTTGGCTTTGGCTGTTGCCATTGATTTCCTACATGACACTCAACTCATTGCTAAACAGTTTCCTGATATATTTGCCCCATGAAGATGGAAGCATTATAATAGCTGGAACCATCATTGTTTCTGACTGAAAGAAGACAGATAAGCTTTTGAGACAAACGCCACCAGGAAACATCTCTCTGGGTTCTCACCCACAAAAGCATAATCACAGTACATAGATTTTATTATGTAGATTTTAACCTCTACCAAACATAATGGGATATTTCTCAATTATATTGATTTCACTGTGTTGGGAACTTACCTGTGCTTCCTGTCAAACAAAATAGCATGCAGAGAATGAGACCTTCAAAAACTTTTACCAGGTAAAATACTGTATTATGCAGGCATCCCTCATTTTATTGCACTTCCCCTTATTGTTCTTCTCAGATACTATGGTTTTTACAAATTGAAGACTTCTGGCAACCCTGTGTGGAGCAAGTATACTAGCGCCATTTTTTCCAATACCATGTGCTCACTTTGTGTCTCTGTGTCTTTTTTAGCAATAAAGTGTTTTTTAATTAAAGCATGTACTTTTTTTAGACATAATGCTATTGCACACTTAATAGACTACAGGATGGTATAAATATAACTTTTATATGCACTGGGAAATCAAAACTTTTGTGTGACTTGCTTTATTGCAATATTTGCTTTATTGCAGTGGTCTGAAATCAAACCCACAATATCTCCGAGGTATGCCTGTATAATCATCATCATGATTTTATGAATATTTATATATAGATGCATATTTGCCTTTGTATATGTAGGAATAATTTTCAGACTACCTAAAACACATGAATGAGGATGATGGCTATTACCTTAAATTTTTAAACAAAGAAGCTGAGTGAGGCATGTATTTTGGCAGGCTTATTCAAGAGTTTTGAATTATAAACAGAGAACTAATAAGTCAATCATTTTTGAGTTGAGAGTTCAGCAAAGCAACTAATAACCTTTTGATTTGCCTGTTTGACTAATGGCCATTAACTTTTGTGTCACATAGCCCCACTTTAAGCAGTTTAGAGGCAGAGCCTGATTCCTACTCTCTTAACTTTCATGAGATTGTTTTCACTGCAATTTTTCCATAAATCAGGCATATTTTTTTGTTACTCTAGTGCTGCAGAGGACCGTGGAGGAGGCAATTAGACAAAAACCTCAGATTTCACAAACTGGTCGCCTATGGGATAGCTGTTAATGCAAGTAAGTACTTATTAATTGCTCAATGGATTTTACAATATCTGATGCCTAACTTCATAGTTTTGTTTTAACTCTGCCTTCCCCAAGTCTCACCCTCAGGTAAAAGAAAACTTTGCCCTTTATCTGACCCTGTAAACCTTACACAAATGGGTTTTTACATTTTCAATTTATACTTACCTATACGTTTTCCCCTACCAAGACCTCAATTGGTCAAAGAAAAGTTGGTGAAACTTCATTTGCGAATAGTTAAGCTTGTTAATAATACAATAATAAATACTTACTTGAAAAAGGGACACTTTGTTATTCAATATAATTCACTTTGGAAATAAAATTGACCTCTGTTCAAAATCTCATTCACAGTCGTAGGAAAATGACTGTCAAATAGTATTGTGGGCAATAAAAAAGAAAAAAGAAAAGAAAGATCATGTGAGCCAAGTTCTGAATCATAGTGAGGTAATGGACATAAAAGGGTCTTGAAAAGACATGAAGCTTTATCGGCATATAAAGTGTTATTGCTATTATTATATTTCTAATTTAAGAGGAAGGCACTAGAAATTAGCACCCAAGGCCAAGGTTAAACTCTGATGAGGAAGAAAGGAGGAGGAGCAGTCATCAACCAGCTTGTGGTTTTGCTGGAAAACAAAGACATTGAAATAAAAGGCTATCTGAGCGATAAGGAGTTATGATTCAGGACTGTTTCTCTCAAACTAATTTAACTATAAAATGTTTTCCTCATTTGTTTTTATCCTCTCATGCATAAAAAAAAAAGCAGAGTAAAAGGAACACTCAAAACAAATGTGAATTTAATTAAGCAACAAGACATGACAGACGGTGCCCGAGTGCCAATTAACACAACTTTGGGGGTGCAGTGAGACATGAGGGGAAGATGCTCCCAGTGACTGTCTTCAACGCTGGATTAAACCAACCTGAGAACTGCTTTGTAAAAGGTCTTTGTGGTTTGTTAGGAAATAAGAGTAAAAAGACATCGTGTCCTAGAGAAAACCAGCTCAGAGATAAAGGGGAGGAAATAAGGCTGGTTCATCTTTGTATTCCAAGGCCCACAGTAGTGCTGAGTATGCGTAGGCACCAATAACCGTTCATGAATGAGCGAATGCATGAAGGAATAAAGACTCAGGGAAAGAAATTTTGGCTCAGGAATGGAAATCTTTTCCGCACCTTGAAAATTATCTAAAATTAGAATGAAGCTCCCCTAAGAATACTGAATTCCCCATCATGGGTGATGTCCAAACAGAGACCAGATCGCTCCTTGATAGGCTCATCACAGAAGCAATTCAAGGAATCTCCAGGCTTCCTTTAAAATCTTAAATAGCTTGATTTCTGCATAACACAGTAAAATGGCAAGAATATTATCACAATACAATAGCTTTAAGACAGACTTGAACTCTAAGAGAAAGTTTTAAAGATATTACAGAGAGAAGGGGGAAAAAAACAGCCAGCATCAAAAGACATCAGAAAAGAGGCCGGGCATGGTGGTTTACGCCTATAATCCCAGCACTTTGGGAGGCTGAGGCAGGTGAATTGCTTGAGCTCAGAAGTTCGAGACCAGCCTGGGCAACATAGTGAAAGCCCGTCTCTACCAAAAATCCAAAAAATATTAGCTGGGCGTGGTGGTGCATGCCTATAGTCCCAGCTACTTGGGAGGCTTTGGTGGGAGGATAGCTTGAGCCCAGGAGGCGAAGGTTGCAGGGAGCTAAAATTGTGCCACTGCACTCCAGCCTGGGCAGCACAGTGAGACCCCATCTCAAAAAGAAAAAAAAATACAACAGAAAAGAAAGCAAAGAATAAGAAAAATGTGTTATGAAATAGTTTTCTCCTTAAACTTTTGGGCATGTACATTTCTTTATATGTAATCGTGTATCAATAATACCAATGCATTAGAAACGTATAATGAATATCCCCCGTGTTAAAGATACCCTGAAAGCAGCTATAACTTTCTGAAACTAGTGTGGTCAGGGCTGTTTTAGGATGGAGTATAATTTAGTATAAGCAGCTGTTGACTAAAATCAGGTAACCAAATTATTTTATACCCCTGCTACTGATTGGTAGTGTGATATCTGAGAAGTTCCTCATGCTCTTTCTTCTGTGGAGTTAAAAGAATACTAATACAGGCCGGGCGTGGTGGCTCACGCCTGTAATCCCAGCACTTTGGGAGGCCGGGGCGGGTGGATTACCTGAGATCAGGAGTTGGAGACCAGCCTGACCAACATGGTGAAACCCTGTCTCTACTAAAAATGCAAAAATTAGCCAGGTATGGTGGTTCATGCCTGTAATCCCAACTACTTGGGAGGCTGAGGAAGGAGAATCATCTGAACCCGGGAGGTGGAGGTTGTAGTGAGCCGAGAATGCCCCATTGTACTCCAGCCTGGGCAATAAGAGCAAAACTCTGTCTCAAAAAAAAAAAAATTTTTCAATGAGATGTGCAGATTATTGTCAGGATCAGAGTTAGTTGGAAGTTTGCAGAATACAGGGTTATTCACTTGCTGCTATTGCAAATAAAATCAAATCCAAAGCCCTTAGCCTGACCAAGGGCTCCAATGACCATGCATGTGCCCCCTGCCTGTGCCCCCTGCCACAGTCTTATCTCCTGCCATATCCCCCTGGCTTTTCCCCTTGGGCACACCCAGCTCCTAGGAGTTCCTAAGCATTCTGTGCCTTTGATCCAGGGATCCCCTTTGCCTGAAATGCTCTGTCCTCCTCATGGTGCTAAATGGGTGAGATATGGCCATGCCCAGGACTCATATCCTGGCCTACCTCCCCCAGCGCAGCCTCTGAGGGGTCTAAGGTCATACTTTCTACCACAGAGTGAAATTCATTCCCCAGAAGCTGATCACCTCCAGGGCTGAGCCTGTGCCTTACGCCTCTTGGCTGCCCTGGTCCCTGGCGCACAGGAGGTCCTCAAGAAATTTGGTGAAAACTGAGGATGAGTGAGAGCCAGCAGGCAAGAGAGGTTGAAGGAATCACTGGGAATGGTACAGGACACATATGCATGAGTTGTTCAGGGAGTCATGAGCAGTCTGGGGTGGACTGAACAGAGTGTGGGGAGGGAAAAGATTCAAACAATGTCAATTGTCCAAGATAATACATTCACATTCTGCTGCAACCAGAGAAAGCAGGGTGCTCTTTCTCCCTCTTTCCCTCACACATCCCTGGAGACAATCAAGTGTTCTCTCCGGCCCCCTTCCTCCTGAACCCCACTGCTTTGCCAGGCTCCCAGATATCTCCTGGGGCTCCCCCAGCAGGGTCAGAACTGCAACCCAGAGCAAAGTGCCCCTCATCCCACTCCTCCATGGCGACCAGCAGAGCTGCGGTGTTTCCACTCCCTGCAAATGCAGGAGGCTGGGGAGAAAGCTCTCTGCTTCTCCCAAACCCTGACAAAGCAATTATTACATTTCACATGAACGAAGAAATGCGTCTGGCAACTGCGCTTTTGGGAGGAAAAAAAATGCTAAGCCTTGGTTTCATGCAAACACCTCTGCTTTTCACATTTTCTTCTTCTGGTAGATTCACTTGGGAGCAGCTGAAAATGTCCCTGCGCTTATTTTATTAGCATCGCCCATTATGCTGCATTTCAAATAGCCTGCTGGCTTAATAGAGGTGTGTAACCTTGGAAAAAGTGCGACCACATCGAAGTTTGCATGCCAACCTCTAATTTCTCATCCGTTCCCCTGTAAGCTGAACTGCAGGCTTTAATTGGTCAAATCATTAAAGGATGTAATTAGAGACTGGTGGAAGAAGGCGAGGGAGGAGGAGGGAAGAGGCAAAACAATGGTATCTGTAATCAAGGACATCACGGAAAATGCAGTGACAGGAACTCTTCTTTTGGCTTCCTGCCTTCCTGCTTGTCTGCCTATGATAAGAGCTGCCGGAGCATTCTTCAACCACTAATAAATCATTTTCAGGGACCTATAACCCCATGGGTATAAAAATCATAGTTTCACAGCCTCTTCGTTCTTATTAATGCAGATCTTTCTGGAGTCCCTGGTCCACAGCAGACCTTGAAGACCCTTCCAATTGAAAAGTAGTACTTTGAGCTCCAGCTTCCATCAAGGGGTGTCTAAATAGTGACCCAGGCAGCTCTCCCTGGCAGAGTCGGCAGCTTGCTTCTGCCAGGTTCCAGGAGTGAACAATTAGCCGAGTGCAGCTCCTGATGAGTTGCTAAAATTAGTCTACAAACATCAATAAACATAACAAGGGCAGGGTGAGAGGAGAGAGCACAGAATAAGGGTGCCCAGAAAATAAAGATTTGGAGACCCAGGCTTGAGAATAGCCCTAAAGGCACAAACTCTTCAGTCCTGACCCCTCAAGGATTGCTCCTAACCAGTTCCCCCTGAGGCTCTGGGAGCTTCAGGGAAGCTGCATCCCCAGCCCTGCCTGACAGGATTTAATGTGATTTACAAATGCGTGGCACACACAGGGTGCCAGAGTCAACGATCCTTCTACAGAAATCAGACCACAGGTTTAAAAGTTTGCAGCCAAATTCTGGCTGCAGAAGCAGAGCCAGAATCTGTCCCTGGGTCCTTGTTTCTGAAGGCTGCTTAATTAGGAGGTGACTAACTCCAAAATGACTGTTATCACTGACAGGCAGGCAGAAAGACAGCAAGGACAGACCACACTTCCAAGATTCCCCCCAATTATGCTCACTTTGATCTCCTGAAAAATAAAATGAAAGAAGGAAGGTAAAAGAACTTTCTCAGGGCAACTGGCTCTAATAGTAGCCTTTATGATTTTTTTTTTTTTTTTTTTTGGTTCACTCTTCAATGGAAAGCTCCTTATTTGAACTCAGAAGTCCACATACCAATTAAATGCGCATGTGTAGTGTTTCCAAAATTGCTGCTCTCTTAAAAGTACTTTGGGGAGAACACAAAATTGTAGAAAGATCCAGCTATAGCACCTTTTAGCCTGGCACAATTGAGTGGGTTATGGAAATGTGTGTCTTGCGGTCCTCCAAGGGCAGAGAAGTGCGTACTGTAGAAAGTCCACAGAGGCCCAGGAAGAGCTCCCCCGCATAGCTAATGGCGTTGGATTTACTGCAAGACTGAAGAGCCCCAATTAAGCCAGAGTTGGCTTTGGAAACATGAAAACATGAGCTTTGTGTTTGCATTACTTCCATATTGGTCTACAAATCCCTTTTAGATGATAAATATGCTCCCAGTTAACTTCAGAGAAAGACACAGGAGCCACACAGCTGGAAGGGGGCTTAGATAACCTTGTTTAGTACAATCTACCCATTTCACAGATGGGAAAAAAAGGGCCTAAAAGAAGTTAGGTGACTGAGAAGTATCCTCTTCAGTATTCTTTCTGTTACATACTAATATCAAATCTAATAACATGAAATGATATTGATGACTAAGGGAGGGAGAAATCAAACCATATCACTGTTTTATCCCACCTCTGTAGCCCTTGTCCCTGTAACATAAACAGCATGGCTACTTATATTTTTAAAAGCCTAAAATGTAGAAGGGAAGGAATAGAAAATACAATGTCTAAAGAAGAACAAAAATAGTATCTCCCCTGGTGTCTATCAAGTCACAACAATTCTGAATTTAGCGGTTGGTATATCTTTAGCTCCAAGCCAAGATTGCTGTAAAATTAGGATCAGATCTAAGAGGAAAATAAAATGTTTAGACAAACAAAATCGGCATAAGCAGTTTTCTCTCTGAGAATGCCTGAGATAAATAAAATATTCCACTTTGTATGTTCTACCTTGTGAAAGAAAACAAAATGGAGGTAGCGAGAGCAAGGGAACATGTAAGACATGAACTTTAAAGTGTGTGACAAATACTGGAGAGAATAGTTTTTACAAATTCCCTCAGAAGCTGCCTCTTGAAAACCATCTGGGGCTTTCTCGTACTCCTTCATTAGTTTCTTCAGCTCTGTTATGGGAGACCTGGCAACAAGAATAAGTAAATAGTTTAATATCTTTGTTCATTCAATCAACATACTTAAATTTAGTTTAACAGTGTCAAATTCTCATGTGGAAATCAATCTAACAGAAAACAAATTGCAATCAACAACTCATTACAGAGAAGAAGAACGTTATAAAATATAAAGCCAGGCGTGGTGGCTCACGCCTGTAATCCCAGCACTTTGGGAGGCCAAGGAGGGCAGATTGCCTGAGCTCAGGAGTTTGAGACCAGCCTGGGCAGCATGATGAAACCCCATCTCTACTAAAAATTAGCTGGGCATGGTGGCGTGTGCCTGTAATCCCAGCTACTTAGAGGCTGAGGCAGAAGAATTGCTTGAACCCGAGAGGCAGAGTTTGCAGTTAGCTGAGATCGCGCCATTGCACTCTGGCCTGGGTGACAGAGGGAGACTCTGTCTCAAAAAAAAAAAAAAAGTTATAAAATATAAAAACTTATCCTGCAAAAAAGAAGTTATAAAATATAAAAAACGTATCCTGCCTTCTCTTTCTGACTATCATATATGGATTATGCAATGGTAAACACATCAGTTAACTTGGTCCGAAGCTCAGTTTCTATTTCTGTAAATTGGGAACAGCTTCACTCCCTGTCTGGAGTGCCCTAGTCTATGGAGAGAGAATTAAAGAAAGCTAGGAGGAGAGGAGTAAGGGTCAAGGGGCAGAATATAAAAGGAGCATTTACACCAACCTACAATGAGGACTCCAAATGTTGTGATCAGCCAGAAGCCTTAGAAACGGTTGGACTCTAGATTAAAGACACCAGGTAAACCATTCAGAGTTTTATCTAAGCCCATAGAAAAAACTAGTTTTCAATTAAAAATCAGGTATGATAATTGCTCATTAGTCAAACGAAGCAATACAGCTTGATGGTCAAAAGATGGGGCACCGAGTCACGCAAATCACTAAACCACTTTCATCACGAATCAACAGCAAATTCCTTAACTCTTTGAATACTGGTCTGTCGAATGAGAAGAAGGCTGATACCTGAGGAGGGTTAAATCAGGTAATATGCCTACAGCATTTACAACAGTGTCTGTTGTATAGTAAATATTCAATATGTTTGCTATGAGACGTACTACCTGCTTTTTAAAGACGTCGAGATAATTATCAGAAAACAGCAATTAGGAATACTGGACAATGTTTGTGTTCAATTTAGCAAATAGTTTCCATTTTGCATGTAGCATATTGGAAAAGACTCCTGCTAGATAAGCCTTTCCAGCTTTGTGGATGCTGAGGCTAAACAAGGCAGCACCTTCATAGACATGGCTGTATATTTTGACAAAGCACCTAGGGAGGAAACATAGTACTTCGTGGGTGCTAACCTCTCTGAAGCCATAAGGAAGCAGTAAACATCACGATGCGGAAACACTATCGAGTGCTTTGCCTTCTTGGGTGAGCCTCAACCTGAAGTATATTTGACTTGATTTTCAACTTAAAGGCTAAAGAAAAATGTGCAATATATATATATTATATATATATATATAGCATATATATATTATATATATATAGCATATATATATTATATATCTATAGCATATATATTATATATCTATAGCATATATATAATATATATATATAGCATATATATATATATATGTATATGTCAGCAGAGAAAACACTACTCCAACAAGGTTGTATTTATAGATTGATTTTCCTACCCTTTCATTACCCCTTCTACCTTTCTTTAATCTCATTGTCACTAAGCAAATAATTGTCAAATACAAACTGGTGCTGAGGTTTCAAGGATGAATAAAGTCCATCCTTGAGAAGTCAAAGTTCATCAGGGGTGCAGGGATAAATAGATACTGCAACAGTAATATCTGAGAAATGCTATGGTCATACTATCATTTGTGCTGGTGAAATTGAAGAATGTGTGATAGAAGTCAACTTTTGAAGTGAGTTGTAAGGCATGCGTAGAAAATTTTGCAAATCAGAAAAGGGAGTGATAGCAGGAACTCAGGTGACAAAGAAAAGAGGTTGCATAGAAGATAGCATTTCTAAATAAATCTGCTCCTAGGACCACAGGGACCAAAATGACACGAATATTCTCAGAAGTTCTTGCTGTTTCTTTTTCCCCATCACATCTTCTTCCACACCTCAACCCACAATGTACAACCACGGAGGATCCCGTAACTCACTCACAACCTGTATAGACTTTATGATAGTCATAGGCCCTGCTACTTCTCACTGTGGGTGCAGAAGAAAAGAAGATATCAACTGGGAAATTATCTATACCCCGGGCAATGAATTCTCATTTCACACACGAATCTGATCCCAATGGCAGTTATCAACTGGCCACCCAGCGGGAGTTTCATTTGCAGGAAAAGCATCGGTATGTTGTTGTCTAGCTGTGACTGCTGGCTTCCCAACAGATTTGGAAAGAGCAGCATCAGACACAGAATCCTCAGGCCAGACGATGCTGGGTTCTTAAGCTTGTTCTCTTCATTTAGAATTTAGACACCACCAAGTCCCAGAATTAGAAAGCTCCATTTACTTCTTAAGAATATACAGAAGGTACATTTAGTTCCATAAATAATGGCTTATTTCAATCCACCAGAAATAACACATGCAAATTTATGTGTGAATGTGTATGTGCAGGGGTATATATACATATAGAGTAGTCCCTCCTTGTCTGCGGGGTATACATTCCAAGACCCACAGCAGATGCCTGAAACAGGGGATAGTACTGACCCCGACTGCCATCCATCAGAACATGTTCCTTTTCATGTCTTCCACCCACAAATGTAATGCTTTTTTCATCATAAATAAGCACTTATCATGCATTGTGGCTGTAACTTTTGCAGTTTGAGGTGTGACAGCGAAACTAGCACAAATGTCTTTTTTCTTCTTCACAATTTCAGATAGAAGATTTGTTCTTACCGTAGATCTTAGCAACTTCCACATACAGTTTTTTTCCTTTCCTTATTAAGTAGAGAACTTTCACCTTTTCACTTAAAGGAAGCACCTGATGGCTTCCCTTTGGTGTAGCCGAATTGCCAGCATCACTACTTTTCCGCTTTGAGGCCATTTTTAAGTAAAATAAGGATGACTCGCACACAAACACTGGGATACCGTGACAGTTGATCTGATAACCAAGAGGGCTACTGGATATGCTGGACAAAGGGATTATTCACATCCCAGGTGGGACAGAGCGGGATGGCATGAGATTTCATCATGCTACTCAGAATGGCATGCAGTGTAAAACACAAATTGCTTATTCCTGGAATTTTCCATTCAATATTTTCTGATTGTGGTTGACCTCAGGTAACTGAAACTGGAGAAAGTGAAACTTTAGACTGGGGGGACTACTGTATACTAAAATGTGGAAAGGAATAAACAGAAAATAGAGTGGCTGAAAGAGAACAAAAACAATATCTCTCCTGGTATCTATCATTTACATTATATACATACATATCAGCATGTATAATGTACAGTATTCTAGAATAATGCTTTCCGATTTCTTAAGAAGTTATATATACTTGTTTCTTTTAGAATTATTTCATATATAATTATGCTGAGATATCATAACATTTATTCCACTTCCATGATAACTATACACTTTAAATTATGATGAACTGAGATTTACTTTATTTATTAATATAACTTAAATAAATGTGGAGATTTTTGTACAGTATCATATACATACATATCAGCATGTATAATGTACAGTACTCTAGAATAATGCTTTCCAATTTCTTAAGAAGTTATATATCATTATTTCTTTTAGAATTATTTCATATATAATTATGCTGAGATATCATAACATTTATTCCACTTCCATGATAACTATACACTTTATGATGAACTGAGATTTACTTTATTTATTAATATAACTTAAATAAATGTGGAGATTTTTGTACAGTATCTTTGGAAGTATTCAATCCACTCCACTCAAAGCACTGGGAAAGATGTGTAAATACATCACTTTTCCTTGGAGATTACAAAAACCAGAACAGAGAAACTTGAGCACAGAGACACTGTATTTTTTAGTAACTAGGGAGAAAGCAAGCCACAGGGTGCATGTTTGGTGTCATCTCCTTGTCCTAGCCATCCACATCGTGGCGCATTTCTTCAACCTGGAACGCTACCACTGGAGCCAGTCCGAGGAGGCCCAGGGACTTCTGGCCGCACTTTCCAAGCTGGGCAACACCCCTAACGAGAGCTACCTCAACCCTGTCCGGACCTTCCCCACAGTGAGTTCCTGCATGCTAACAAGCTTCTCCCCTGAAAAATCCGTCCTTTTCCAGTCCTCTAATCAGGAACGCTATATTGAAAAGCTTTTAATAAAAGAGCTGGAGAATGAATTTATATGTGAATTTGTTTTCAATTTCACATTTTCTAAAAAGTTATTTTTTTCTCATTAATGTTGCTGGGAAGTTATGAGCAAGGAGAAAAAGATATGTCACCTAATTAATTTATATATATATACACACACACACTAGAAACGCAGTAACCTGTTAAATTCCTAATATTTTAAAATTTAACATTTTAAAAGCAGTTCAGGATTAGATATTTTTTCACTGATGTTAGACTCATAAAGAAGGTGAAGTGCCAGCTAAACACAGAGATTATAAATTGGATGTCTTCATTTTCAATCTGCAGATTGTTTTCCGGATCTGTTCTCCGAATGCCTCATACATTGGCACATATGTGAATAGCTGCTTTGCCAAATCAGATACTGGGCAAAGCAGCTAATTTCATAATGAGACCTGCATGGCCAGTGACATCATTAATGCTAATTACCTGTGTGCACAGACTGTCAGCAGCTATGGGGAACAAAAAGAAAACCAAAAATGTAGCCACAGCAATCTATGTTCCGAGATGAAGACGGTCGTCTCCCTTAATTCACCCCTACCTCTTTCTTTGTGGTTGATCTCAGTTTTTTTCCACATACCACCATATTGGCATATGTGTGCAGCACGTTGACCAGACTAAAAATATCTTTATTGCCCAAGAAAAGCCGTAAGGCAATACACTTCAGCAATGAAAATCCCTCCATTCTTATCCAGGCCATCTCTTTAAGTGACCATTTCCCCATGCAGCCTTATTTAAAGAACAAAAACTCAAAATCTGGTTTTGGGACACTTGTTCCATGTCATGTCCCCTAATTAGCCTAAGATAATTTTCAATATCAGGCCATTGATCAGGTTTAGTTGAGCTACCTTTTCTTTTATTTTTTATTTTTATTTATTTATTTTTTTTGAGACAGAGTCTCACTCTGTTGCCAGAGCTGGAGTGCAGTGGTGCGATCACGGCTCACTGCAAGCTCCGCCTCCCGGATTCACGCTATTCTCCTGCCTCAGCCTCCTGAGTAGCTGGGACTATAGGCACCCGCCACCACGCCCAGCTAATTTTTGTTATTTTTAGTAGAGACGGGGTTTCACTGTGTTAGCCAGGATGGTCTTGATCGCCTGACCTCGTGATCCGCCCACCTCGGCCTCCCAAAGTGCTGGGATTACAGGCGTGAGCCACCGCGCTCGGCTTGAGCTACCTTTTCTTAGCTGACAGCTATTGGAAGCAAAAATTTCACACTTCCGAATCAGAACTACAGCTGCCCTTATGAGTGGGGATGCCTTTGTGTCCGTCCATTGAATCACAGCATTTGTCTAGGCACCTACTGAGGTTGCTGTTTTTCCCCACTAAGACGCTGGAAAATCCATTGCTACACACACTCAAGAATAAATCTCAACATTTTGCATAGTCTATATAATAAATAGTATTTATTAAAAATACTTTTCAAGCAATGTGATTATATATCTTACTAGAAAAATAATAAAGCTACTACCAATGCAGTAATTTCAAAATTTTAGAAGCAATATACTATGTAAGTACTAATTAAGCTCAGGAAACCCTCTAATTTAGGGTATTTGGAGAGAGATGAGTATCAATAACACAGAGTGTACATTATAGAGCATTTTTAGAGATGCAGTGGGATTGTTTTGGAGGATACATTGCAACTGTAACCAGTCTATAAATGTGTTGCAAGAAAGAGACATGGCGATTTGCCTTAATAGGCAAGGAAGAATGATGTGAAATTAGCATATCATATGATGTAAATGGATTTCTAAAATGCCTGAAGGTACTTGAGAAGAAAATATTTTAAATGTTTGAGACATACCCCTTTCAATTTTATTTCCACTCTTTGCTCTATGAAGAAAAAATAATGAAGAAGTCCCTGTCCGAATTACCTCCAGATCTCAAAGCCGCCCAAATTAATGAGATTTTACTGACAAAAGATATAGTGAGTTTATTGAGCTCATGGCCGTCTCAACGATAGTAACACAATGTATGAATACTAATGACTTGGCAAGAACATGGGAAACTCACAATGAAAATAAACTGCTGTGTGATGCTATTCTAAAAGGCTATTTTACTGTCCCTTGCACTCACAGGTCAGAATTCTGGCCGTTTAGCCGTGTCCACCAGATAAGAATAGCTGTACCTTTATTGATCACCTAGGATTTACCAAGCCTTATTCCAGGCCCCCGGAGATGGCGTGAAAGAAATGCAAGTCATGGTCTTTCCAATTAAAAAGCAAGAGCAAGGAACAACTACCAAGGGAACTGAGTGTGCAGCTGCTTTATTAGGAACGCCCCAAGGGACCTCTCAAAAAAATGTGTTTATTAATGTTAAAATGCAATTAAGCATGGTGATCCACATAGTTATTTTGAAGATTAAAAACTTAAAACTCAGATTTATTTTGCAATATTTTATCTTAAAATGCTCTTTTCATGCTGCCCTAATTTCAATTCAACATAATCACTTTGGTTTTTTTTTTTTTTGTTTTTTCTTTTTTCCCATTTTGTTATTGTTGTTGTTGTTTTAGACACAGGGTCTCACTCTGTCTCCCAGGCTGGAATGCAGAGGCAGCATCACGGCTCATTGCAGCCTCACACTCCTGGGATCAAGTGATCCTCCCACCTCAGCCTACTGAGTAGCTGAGACTATAGGCTCAAACCACCATGCCCAGCTTTTTTTTTTTAATTTATTTATGTGGGTTTTTTTTCCAGTATAATAACTTTGATGTGAAATGATATATACAAAAATAAAAAAATGTGATTGATGAAATGGTATTTTACGAAATTTTAGCAAAGCAAGTAACCACCGTAAGCTGGTGGGAAGGGGGTGGAAGAGTAAGCTCGCTTCTTGAGTTGCACCTGCATCCTCGCTGAGGCTAACGTGCTTCTGAGTGAAACATTGTGAACGGCTCCCTGCTTGAAATCTCAAGTACTGGTCCTAAAAATGAAAAAAAAAAATATGCCAGGATATTTAATGTCAAGGTGTTTTTTTTTGTTTGTTTCTTTTTTTGTTGTTGTTGTTTTTTTTAGAACACAACCACTGAATTGCTAAGGACAATAGCAGGCGTCACCGGTCTGGTGATCTCTCTGGCTTTAGTCTTGATCATGACCTCGTCAACTGAGTTCATCAGACAGGCCTCCTATGAGTTGTTCTGGTACACACACCATGTTTTCATCGTCTTCTTTCTCAGCCTGGCCATCCATGGGACGGGGTAAGTCCATACTGCGCTCCTCTGCAAGGATTTTATCTCTGAGAGTCCCAAAATAATCTTAGAAAGTCCTTTAGATGAAGGAGCCGGCGTGCGGTGACTACAGGACTCGTATAATGTGTGAAAAGCACATTGACTGTGGCAAACGCTTTTTCAGTAACACTGAAAATAAGCTACATAGATGGTGAAGTATTATATTTATTTTTCCTCTCTGACTCTGTTAGTGAGTCTTGGCATGTTTATAAAATTCAGGAATCCTAATGAATGCAGGATGACAGTAGATCTATGTTTCATTCAGTACCTGTTCTGCCATCCAATTTATGTGAGATTACTCAGGATATATATTTTTGACACCAAGATTTCACTTCTGCTTAACCAAAACCGTCAACTAGGAAACCCACTGTTCGGGCAGGGACAATGTGTGGCATGGGCAGTCTGGTGTGGGGTCCAGAAGCAGCTCTGACACCAGTTATCAGAGTGAGCCCTTCAGGTCCTCTGAGCCTCAGTTTCCCCATTTGACCTCTAGGACCCCATTTTCCTCAGACATCCCGTAAAACACTGTTCTGGTATTCAATACCTGCCTGATATGGTTCATCTCTTCTTCAGGAAGCTAGCATAGCCCCTGATGTGTTCACCCTCAAATATAATGCTTTTCAATCCTTTAAATATTAATAAATGGCCCTGGACTAATACATCAATTGCTGTCTGTGAACTAGCTTGTCCCTTTAATTATTTCAAAAACTGATTGCCTTTTTTTCCATTTTACAATTTTCAAAGCACATTCATATACATGATCAACTTGACCCCCACAACAGTCCTGTCATGTAGAGAAGGTGCTGCTGTCCCCATTTCATAAAGAGGAAAAAGGTGTTCTGAGGGTTAAGTGATGCCCTCAAGGTCCCATGATGAATAAACAGCAGAGTCAGATCCAGGACGCCAGTCTTTAGACTATCAATCAGACCTTTACTCTGGTTTGCAAGCCCCTGAAGAACAAGTCTTCCATTTTAGGAATTAAACCTTCCTCAACACCAGCAAGAATGTGGCCAGCAATGTTGCTAATGCCCTTTTTGGCTTGCCAGCAGCAACTCCTCTGTTCCCGCACCACAGAATACCCTCTTCCACCCCTCATTCTCCCACCATTGCCACCGCTGAGCATGGAGGGTCCTGTCCCGGAGGTGGCCTCCGACTCTGCGCGGACCTGGAAGAGCAAGCGCATAGCTGCAGAGTGGCATGGCCTAGGAAGTCACACCTGCCTTGGTGACTCTGGGTCCCATGTAGGGCCCACAGACAACGCTTTGGGATTTGCCCTTCCACAAGTCAACAACGCCTCCAATCTCCCTCCTCACCCTTAATGCTCCTGTCTTCTCAGCCCCCTACTTCTGGAAGGGGGTGGCAGTTCTGCCGCTGCCACTGCCTGTGCCTAAGACTTCTCCCGTGGTCCCTCAGCTGGTGGACAGAAACACATTCTCCACGGAAGAAGTGCCCCTGAGGGTGCATTTTACCCTAAAAGACTGCCTGTGCCTCTGCTGAGCCTTAGTAACCGGGTCAGTCCACATTCACCCGTACTCTGCTGCCTGGCTAGAGGCTTTCCATTCTCTTTCAGCTAGAGGTCTCTGGGATTGGCTCTTCTGAATGTGGAAATCTCAACATTCCTTTTTGTACTTGGGATGGGCAAGGTGGATGGTGTGTAGACCCAGTGTGTTCCAACTCAGAGACTGTCAGTCCTCCCTTTCTACTGCTGATTCTGCCCCCGACGCCGGGGTTGTTAACCCCTGAAGCACATTTATGAGGCTATCTATAACTCAGGGGAATCTAGAAGCCCTATTCACAGACATGATGTGCTTACCCCCCTAAACATACGTCCCCCACATCCACACCCTGGTGCATTGTAGAAGCACAAGAGAATTTCAATGGGCAGTGTTTCGTTGGAGATATTTTTGATATCCAAATAACATCTCATAAGATGAAATTTTTAGTCATTTTAACCTAGTTGAAAAGCTTATTTTAGGATAAGGGCCTCATTTAATCTTCTCAGTGTGAAGTATTCTACAGCTACTGTTTACAGCGAAAGCAATTTGCAAATTCTACACAAAGTGCCAAGTGAAAGTAGGATTATTGGAATGTGTTAAGGCCCACTAATCTTCCTATTATGGGATGGCATAGATGAAGACATTTCAAACGTTTAAAATGTTTAAAAGATACAGCATTTGTGGAATGATATGAGGCTTCTTTTAGACACTATGGGGAATGCTGCCTACAGCCTGAGAATGAAAGTGTTAAAGTATCTGGAATCTTTCCTCTGACTCTCACTTACTATTCACCCTGCCTATGTCTGGGCATCATTTGTACATTGGAGATTTACAGATAGTTTTTCTCATCTAACTCAGAGGGATGTTATCAAGTTTGGATGGCTTCCATAAAACAGACTGGGACAAAAGCCAAGATGTCAGTTCTAGCTGACACCAGGCTGTTTTCCAAGGGCGTATTACTGCTCCTTCCTCCCATGCCCTGTGATATAACAGGGGCCACACCACTCCACAGGCTGTCCAGGACATAAGTCTGTGTGATGCTAAGGTTTCTCAGTCTAGAGTAGCATGTTTCTCAAAACAGATCAATGCATTTCATTCACAAACACCTAGGAACTGAACAATTCCCAGATTCCCTGACCTTGATGTCTTGGGCTTTGCTGTCTGTGCACCAAGAAGGAACCCTAGGAGCTTGTACCAAAGCTACTTGTCAAAGGTCAGTCAGGAGTGCACTCATGGCAAATATAATATAGCAGGATTATAGGACTCTTCGTCCAGTGCTCCGGTCATTAGGACTGCCTTCTCTTTCCATTCCTAAATGTATCAATACCGTCTTGAAGACACACTCCATTGTGACCTGTTTTGACTGAGTCAAACACTGGCTTGCTGGTGGTCACTAGGAGGAAAAATACCATTCTTCCGGTATTTTGACTCCTTCACTTGAAGACTTCTGAGCATTCAGAAACAACCCAAGGAGGGTAGAAGTTAAATAAATCTGCAAAAGAACCAAATAGTACAAAGTTAGCCAATTAGCCCAAATCAGCAATCAGAACAAGATGAAACCTAATTAAATTCAACAGTCTACAAAAGGATGTGTTCAAACAATTTCCCTTCATTATGAATTCTCTAATATAGACACTTTCAATTTAACACAGGATACCACAGAGGGGCCCTTCTTTTCTGGGATCTTCAAAGTTACTCGAAGCTTCTTAAATGCTTATTTTTAAAGAAGCTGGGGGAAATGAATGACAGCCCGAGTTTCAAGAACTGGAAGTGATATTTCAGAGCTCACTGTAGGATATATACCTGTGGGAGAACAAGACTGCTCAAAATCAGTTTGACGTTTTTTGCTTTTTGTTTTGTTTTGCTTTTCTTAAATAACAAGTCGGATTGTTCGAGGCCAAACCCAAGACAGTCTCTCTCTGCACAACATCACCTTCTGTAGAGACCGCTATGCAGAATGGCAGACAGTGGCCCAATGCCCCGTGCCTCAATTTTCTGGCAAGGAACCCTCGGTAAGAATGAACCCAGGAGCTTTTAAAAATAAATGTCACCACAGTTAAAATACAGAGTTTTTATAGGCTTGGAAAAAAGAAAGCACATTTCACCACTAGACAAAGCCAACTCTTTATTAAGTGTGCTAATGGAGAAATCAAGTTACAGATAATTTTTAAAGAGGTTTACTGCCAAAAGCACTATGTTCAGCTTTGAAATGTATTCTTCTACTTACCTTTAAATACTAGTGTCTGATATGGTGGGAATTCATAACAGCACAATGATGTCCCTGGAGGAGTCAGCCTTGGGCCTCACCACCCTTCTTTGTGCTCCCTGCATCCTTAGCCACCTGTCCTCTGCATAACTTCCATCCCAGTCTGAGAATTACTGGCACCCCTGCTCAAACCTAGGTCAATGAACAGCCAAATGAGGCTCAGGGCTTCTTTATAAGCTTGCCTTCTTTCTTTTGACAACTTCAAGGATCAAAAACTTAGTGTGTCAAACGCATTTACTTCTTGTTCTAATTAAGCTCCTGTAACTGAAATAATGATGATGTTAGCCAAGAAGATACTTAATTAATTTGTGTAGATGATAATGTCCACAGATCTGAAAAGTCAGATTTCCCGGGTAGGTGGTAACCATTACAGTTGGTAGCATAGGGAAAGAGAAGTAATATTCCTATCTGGCCTCTTCTGGTATCTTAGAACAGTGCAAATCTTTGGGACAACCAAGTGATGCTTGAAAGAAAATAAATGCATCTGGCAGATAAACAGTAGGAGGAAATAAGTGTCCAAAAATACATCACTTAAAACATGGAATAACAGGGTATAATAGTATACAAATGATGAAGATTTAGGAAATTAAGTCATCAACATATGAAGAATATAAGTGATTGCGTTGTTTAAAAAAAAAACCCTCAAATATATTAAATTAAGCACTGGATTTTAAGGGTGAAAGTACTAGGAGGAATGATTAAAACCGAGAGAACCGGAATAGATATGCCCATTAGACTGTGGTTCTTTTAATGGCCGGTATAGATTGTCTCTGTCTTAAACTCAACTCTCAGTAGCCACTATCCAACCTGCATATTAATGAGGAACATGAATACCTCTCTAAAATTTTCAGCTACAGCATCTCCATAAAAAAATCAATACTCCCCCACACCTCATGAATACAGACCAGGGCCTGCTCCCAGCAGCGTTTGCCGGCATTAATTATCATTAAGAGGGGGCCTTGCTCATCTCTCTCTAACTCTCCCCTGCTCCACTTCCTTGCACACCCAAACTCAGGGTGTCACTCTCTCCCATTATTTGTAATGGATCCTGATTCAAAGCGTGTGTGGGCTATGCAATTACCGCTTGGCTGAACTGTACGATATTCTCTCTGATGTCTTATAGACACTGAATCCGAAAGGCATCCCAAGGACAAGGAAGGGTTCCTGCGCTTCACTGCACCACACCTACTCGGTCTCTACAAAGCTCCATTTCTCTTCCCTTGCCTCTCTTAACTCAGGGCGTTTTCACGGTGCTCTGATCAATAGAATATGTATCATTTCTCCTTCAGCGGTTCACTGTTCCCAGTGTTAGGACAGATAACGTTTTGTACCTCACCTCGTGTAAATGGAACTGATTAAAGAAACCAACTATACCCGGCAGTCCCTCCTCCCCTACTTGTCTTACGTGGAAAATATCAGAGACCAGGTCTGATTTGACATCACCAAAATGAAGTGTGTGATGCCCCAAACTCTCTAAAATGGGTGGGGAAGATTATTTGTAAAAATATATGAAGACTGAGTGTCTTTGCCAATATCTCTTCTGGCCCATTTAGAAAGAACTGCATTCTTGCTCTCATTTCTGTAAACATCCAAAGCAATTCTCAAAAAGCTTTCTGGTTCATTCAAGCATAAGAGACCTAAGGATTCCTTTGCTCGGTCCAACCCCATCCTTCCCAGGGACGCTTCCTACATTTCCCTTACTCTGTTCATCTTCGCAGCTTGTCTCAGTCTCCCTTTCCAGCCCAAATGCACTGACAAATACAGGACTCCAGATTCCTGGTTTGCTGCTGATGCAATCCAGTCTCAAAAGATGCCTGGTCGTCCTAGGCCGGAGAAGCACTTTATGTCATTTAACCACAGCATCAACTCATCGTAACCATAAGGCTGACACTTTGTAATTACTAGGGAAAGCTGTTAGTGGTAAAGGAGAAAGCCCTGATGGAGGTAGAGTCAATTCAGCGAACTTCACCGAGTGCCTAAGTGCATTGCTTGGCAATGCAGTAGACAGGATTCAGACACGTGGGACCTGCCCCAGGAGATCTGATTGTCTAGAAAAAGAGGCTATTCATAAACACACACATAAAATAAAATCAAAGCCAGCATGTTCTTATTTTCTGGTAGGAATGAAAAACCAGGAGTGAAAGTGAAGGAAACAAGTTTCATTATTGCTGCTTTTGAATCAACATCGTTTTATTTCTATCATAAAATACTCACTGTAGCGTGACTTTTTGAGCATTTTTTGAAGAAGAAGAAAAGAAAGCCAAGAAGCCACGGAGTATTTTAGCATTAAGGAAACTTAGATACTAAATAGTTCTTCCCCATTATTTAATAGCTGAGGAAATTGAGGTCCAAGCAGTTTCAGTGTCTTACCCATGGTCACAAAAAGCATTCCCAGTAAAGCCACCTTAAAGAACCAGAGCCCCTAACTCTGTGGCCATGAACTTTCTCCTCCATTCACAGCATTCACTCTAAGTCTCTGGCTTCCATAACCGCCATTTTGTCAGCACTCTGCTGCTAGCTGCTACAAGTACATAGCCCCAACGTTCTACTTATCTCTGTGAATAAAGCCAAAGTGTTTAAGAGCTTGGAGGGAACTAAATAATAATTTTCTCCAGCTAGTTCCCATTTTACAAAACAGGACGTTATGAACATAATAAATCTCAAGATGTGCCTAGTGGCACAGAGTGAGGGGTGGTGGCCCCAAGGCCAGAATCCAGGTCTTCAGACACCCAGCCTAGCATCTACTTTGACACACGGCCCTCTTGCTCTGAATCAAGGCCTCCTTGTCTTGATTCTCTCTTGTCTGTCCCGGGTATCACTGCAAGGACAGTTTCCTAATATTCATCCCTGGCCATCTCTCCCTCAGGCCCTGACTTCCAGGGGCTCCAGGCACAACACAGGTAACGACACTGGCTACTTCCTCCCGGAGCAAAGGATATACTAAGATTGAGATGGAGTCGGGGATTAATAGCTTATATTCTCCTACCTGAACCATGGAAAGAAAAATAATCCATTACATTTTATCAACGTGGAAAATATCAGAGATCGTGTCTGATTTGACATCACCAAAATGAAGTTTGTGATGCCCCAAACTCTCTAAAATGGGTGGGGAAGATTATTTGTAAAAATATATGAAGACTGAGTGTCTTTGCCAGTATCTCTTTTAGCCCATTTAGAAAGAACTGCATTCTTGCTCTCATTTCTATAAACATCCAAAGCAATTCTCAAAAAGCTTTCTGGTTCATTCAAGCATAAGAGACCTAAGGATTCCTTTGCTCGGTCCAACCCCATCTTTCCCAGGGACGCTTCCTAGATTTCCCTTACTCTGTTCATCTTCACCACCTCATCCACAGCATAGGGGGACAAAAGGTTTATTCTCTTTGCTGTTCTGAACACATTGCTGGGCCCTACTGAGGCAGAAAAAATAAGTGGGTCAAATTGTGTTGCCTTGTGTTGCCCCCATAGGTCTAGCTTTTATGAGGCCAAGAGCCCCCCCAGGAAAAAAAGCAGAGAGGGTTGATGTAGGTGAGAAGAGGGACCATGCGAAGAGACCCAGAAATCAACAAAAAGCAATAGACAAAACGAGAAAGGTGACTCAAAGGAAGTAAAAATAATGCTAAAAGACTTGTGACCCATCAACAGAAGAGACAGAGCCAGATGACTGGTCAGGGAGCACTGAGTAATGAGTCAATCGGGGAGGGGTGGTGAATGTCTGAGTTCTGAAGACCGAGACATCCTTCCTGCCCCCACCCCCCGCCCCAGATACTATTCAAGGAGTAAGGTGGTGGATTTAGAAAACCTAGGAGGAAGTGTAGGGACATATGAAAAGGCTTGAGTTCTGGCCCTGGCTATCTCTGGTCCACCTCAGACTCTCCAGGCAACTCAGACCCATTCCCAGAATGTCAGGATTTTCCTTCTTTTAATTCTAAAAGAATTAGAGGATATTGAATGTTCCCAATACAAAGAAATAATCAGTGTTTGAGATGATGGATAGAGTAATTTACCCTGACCTTATCATGATACATTGTATGTATCAAAACATCACTATGTACCTCGTGAATATATACAATTATTATTTGTCTATTGAAAACAATAAAAATTTTAAAAAGAAAAAAAAGAATTAGAGTAGATTTCCAAGAGCATGCAGTATCCTAAAATTCAATGAGTTCATGAGTTTCTAATGTTTTGGAAAACAAGCCTCAGTATCAATTTAGCGCTGGACAGAAAGGACCACGATAATATGGCAATGCACATGGGAGGTAGCCTGGGGTCCTGGTAAGAACTCAGGCTGGGTAGTCAGGCATACCTGAGTTCACATCTCTACGAAACACCTTCGTCCCTTTATGACCTTGGACAATTTGGTTGATCTGACTGAGTCTTAACTCCTTCCTCTGTAAAATCAAGGTAATACATATGCCTCATGGGATTGTTCAGTACAAATAGAACTCTTCAAAAATTGTAACTTCCCATTTCTTCCCTTTCACTGAGGAAGACACCTTATGTTGTACAGAGCTCCTGATACAATAGCCTGCTGGTAAATTGATCATCAGTAATGCACATTATACTCATCAAAAGTTAACATAGCATCTGATTTGTTTAAAATGGACATTTTCACCATCACAATTCTCTAGACAATTATTGAGCCTTTTGCTGTGATTAGATAAACTTAAATTTAAGGTGCCAGGAAATTGACTTTATATTTTACTCCAAATAACTGTGTGTGTGTGTGTGTGTGTGTGTGTGTGTGTGTTTCTGTGTTTATTCAGGCAGACCCTGTAGTTGTGATGCATTCTTGGCCCAAAAAATTACTATTTGAGATTTTAAAATGTAATTTCTTATGTCCTGTGTTGGGTGAGTAATGTAGCTTTGACTTTGGCTTGAGTTTGGGAGCATTTACGACCCTATCATATGTAATATAAACATCAATCTGCTTTTTTATTTCTTTGCAAATTCAATTATTTCTAATTACATAAAGGCATCATTGATCAAGTAAGCATAAAAACCAATATAGAAGAGTTTAATCTCTTAAATAAGCTTGTAGACTTCAATAAATAATTGAATGTTATAGTATATAATACAAGGAGACATCTTTGTTGCTGATAACTGGCCCAAAGTTAAAGGAAAAATATCTAATCCCCATCATGTTGTATATTGATTTGGTTCAAATTGAAAATATTTGGATTCTATTTTCATTTCCTTTTTCTCTCTCTCTCTGCTACTCTCTTCAGGCTTGGAAATGGATTTTAGGCCCTGTGGTCTTGTATGCATGTGAAAGAATAATTAGGTTCTGGCGATTTCAACAAGAAGTTGTCATTACCAAGGTATGCATGTAGCTTTATGTCTGAATAAAAGCCTGAGTGTAGATGAAAATTTTTTATTAGCCCAAATTTTTAATTTGCCATTTTTATTGCAGAACTGTCTGTAATTTAGAGGCTCATCTTCTGTTCTAATAATTGCTTGTATCCTGAGCATCTTTTAGTGTGACTAATTTTGCTGAAGACAGGGATCAGGGCTCCAGACGGCACACAGAATTCTGATAAAGGTTTATTGTACAGCACTGGAATGATCTGCTTTGTCTTTATTTTGCTTTCTCTCTAGGGGGAAATGCAAGGGGAGTGAGTGTACTTTACATGGGTCATAGTGACTTGAAGGATAATCACTTCTTCACCACGTAAAGGCACAAATTTTGCAAACAAATAACATTTTCAAATCTATACACTCTCACTGGGGACTACCAAGCAGAGGAAAGGGAAACAGTCACCATAAGGTTCAGAGCAAGAGGGACCACTGTGGGGAAGAAAAATGGAGATGAAGGATGAAGATAGAGTTCTACCCTCATGAGCAGCATGCTCCTGGTAGCATTTTTCAGTCTTGCTCCCCATCCTCACATCTCTACGTCCTCACAATGTTTACCTCTTGCTGGAGGAAGACGGGAAGGGGTAGACCAAGACCAAAAAAATGCATGCCTAGGAGAGTGAAAAGGTGCCAAATACTCTCCCCCAGCTTTTGAAATGTCCAAGAAGAAACTCTCCGTTAGCCAAGCCTATCCCACTTTGCTAATACAATTTTAACAGAATCCTGTATCTCTGTAGCCGCCTTCATGAAAGCAGATGTATAGAAATTGCTTCCTATTTCTGCTTTAAGCTGTTTCTGTGTTGCTGTTTTTAAGTTAAGCACCAAAGGATGTCAGGCTGTATCAAAAGCTAGACTGTAAAACTTCTGGAAACCTACTCGAGCTGTTACGAGGGAGACCATTTAACAGCAATGTCAGAACAGATACCAGTAGGGAGAGGGAAAACTTAGAACCAATGATGAAAATGCTGTGAAATTCTCTTTTGAACGGAAAAATACTGTCACAGTATCTAGATGCTAGATTTTGTTCCCTTATACCTCTTGTCACAAAAGAAGACAGGAGGGCCTGGAGAGATTTTTCAGGAAACAAGATTGAAATCTAAGAAGGGAAATTAGCTCTTTCCCTCTGATAAGCAGTAAGTCATAAAGCTTTTATAAACACTACTAGAAACCTTGTCCAATGCTTCCCTACATCTAAAACTCAGAGCGGAGTCAGGACACAGGATGAGACTCAACCAAAAAGAAAACAAAACAAGAAAAGAGTTTGAAGTGAGTTTGAAGATTGTTTTTCACTTAGCCTGAAGAAATAAGAGGGTTAATTCACAAGACATTGAGAAAAGATGCAGATCATTGAAAAAGGTAACAAAATGTTCCTAGATGTTAAAAACACAGAGATAATGTGGTGACTTATTTTAATAACCCTAAGCATAATAATATGCAAGCTTCTACTGTCTTGGGTCTGGTTGACTGTGCTGTGGAAAGCCTGGCCATTGGACACATGGACTCACATGCTGGGCACCAATTGCACCTGGGTGCAGCTATTTCAAATGCCACCCTCTGAAGGAGAGGAGCATCATTCTTGCTGGAGTTGCAAACACAGATGTGAAAGCGATGGCACATATCTTTGGGAGCTAACAGCAGATGGGATATGTAAATTACACCTGAAACAAGCTGATCTAAAATTTTCAACACCTTTGATGGAATGAAAGGTGTTTCTTTATTATTTCGAGGACAAAGGCAAACAACTCTCTCACTCTCACATAGGTGGTAAGCCACCCCTCTGGAGTCCTGGAACTTCACATGAAAAAGCGTGGCTTTAAAATGGCGCCAGGGCAGTACATCTTGGTGCAGTGCCCAGCCATATCTTCGCTGGAGTGGCACCCCTTCACCCTTACCTCTGCCCCCCAGGAGGACTTTTTCAGCGTGCACATCCGGGCAGCAGGAGACTGGACAGCAGCGCTACTGGAGGCCTTTGGGGCAGAGGGACAGGCCCTCCAGGAGCCCTGGAGCCTGCCAAGGTTCGTGCCCATTTCTCTCATGTATAAATTGCAGTATTATAAAAAGTAAGGTATCTTAATGTATCAACATGCTACCTGATTCAGCAATATCTTTATTAAATGGTGAGTTTGAGACTGTGTCTAAATTTGAGAATGTGTGTAAAAAGTATAATTTTGTAGACTTCTAGGAGACACACATCTGTTCCTGTAAAAAAAAAAAAAAAAAAAGAAAAAAAGACTAATGTTCAGCCAAGAGAGGGTGATCCAGGAAGGAGGTTTCTCTTCCAGGTCCTAAAGCATCACCTGGTTACTTCTATGCAGCCTGCAATGAGTGAGACAACTCTGGGCATTTTTTTCTATCACAGTCTGAGTTTTTTTTATTGTATTTGTAAAGTCAGGTCTTCATAACAAGGATGCTATGTTTCTGTGTCCTCTTCTTATAAAGACCCAAGTCATATTGGATATAAGGGCCCATACCACTCCAGCATGACCTCATCTTAGCTTTATTCATTATGTCTGCAACCCTATTTCTAAATAAGGTCACATCCTAAGTACTGAGGTTAGGACTTTAACATATCAATGGGGGACACACTCAACCCACAGCATCACTCTATTCAGAAAAGTCTGGGCTCACGCCTGTTATCCGAGCACTTTGGGAAGCCAAGGCGGGCGGATCACTTGAGGTCAGGAGTTTGAGGCCAGCCTGGCCAACATGGCAAAACCCCATCTCTACTAAAAATACAAAAATTAGCCGGGTGTGGTGGCACATGCCTGTAATCCCAGCTATCTGGGTGGCTGAGGCAGGAGAATTGCTTGAACCTGGGAGGCAGAGGTTGCAGTGAGCCGAGATCGCGCCACTGCACTCCAGCCTGGGTGACAGAGTGAGACCTTGTTTCAAAAAAGAAGAAGGAGGAGGAGGAGGAGGAAAGAAAAAGAAAAAGCCTGGGCACATAACAGAAGTCCCAAAGTAAATGACCACTCCTCAGCTCTGTTCAGTAAACAATGGCTTCGGGTCAATTCCCACTGTTCATACAGGGTTACCCAAAAGCATGCAAAGCACACATTTGGGGCTCTGGAAGAACAGGGACACCAAAAAAAATGAGAAAAACATTTTTGGAAGAATTTCATATTTGAAAAGAAGCATCAAGAGATTCCTACTTCTGCCATCCTTGGAGGGTATCAGGAACTACCAAGAAGCAGCCACTGTCATGAGCACTGTGGTAGGGAGCTCGGTAGAGACACTTCAAATGGAAGTTCCTGAGGGCAGGACATTGTCTTTCCTCCTCGGAATCTCCAGTGCCTACAACAGTGTCTGACATGCAGTGCGTACAGAGGAAAGATTTGACAAAAGAATTAATGAAGCCCTGGGGCCAATATGGATTCTTTATCTCATTTAGTTTGACAAATATTTATTGGTGACAAACAAGGTACCACAATAAATTTGAGACACAAAATGTAGTCAGCTTATTGTCCTGCTTTCCCTGTTTTCGTAGGCTACTGAGCTGTAACTGCACCCTGGGCTTGGTTGTATTTAGTGGGTAGGAAGAGTCACAGGCCTCCTTTCAGACACTGGTCCTGAAGAATGGTATGCCAAGCCAAGTAGAAGCATCATCTGCTCAAGCCAGAGCCCCAAATCAGATGAGAACACATGACTATTTTCTTTTTTATAATGGAAAGGAAGCAATGTAATAAAATTTTAAGGTTCAGAGTGCAGAGCAAATGCCTAAAATCAAAAATAAAAGTAGATGCACTGCACAGCACCCCCACCCTCACCAACCCCCCCAGCACACACACACACACACACACACACACACACACACACACACACACGCCACAGTGTCTAACTGCTTTCTCGGTCCCTGCTCTCCCCTTGGCATCGCCAAGGCAAAAGTTTTCATCCTTTTTGCTAACTGGCTTCTGCCCTGTGTGTATACACTTATCTGTTCTATCAACCACCCTTCCCCTTCACAAACCAGATAGCATTTCAACCAGTCCCCCAAGAAGAACTCAGTACTGGTTACTCAGTAGCTGACATGCTTTCTGCCTATGGAGTGCATCGCCAGCTGCAAGTTCCAACAGGATCCCCAGGGCCTCCCTGGGCTCATCTGTTCCACCTCCTGCTCCCTCATGGGCTTAGCTCTTCCAGCTTTCTTGTTGTTCACACACACTGAGAATGTAGTCCTCAGTGCCTTTGCCATTGCTGTTCCCTCCACCTGGAATGCTGTTCCCCACATCTCTGCTGGGCAGCTCCCTCTCTTCCTTCAGGTCTCTGTTCAAATGTCCCCTTCTAGTGAGGCCTTTGCTTCCCACTGCACATGAAACAACCCCCAGCAGTCACTCAATCGCCATGATGCCACATGCTGACTTTATTTTTCTTTATAGTACATACCACCACCTGGCATGTTAAATATTTATATTTGCTTGATTGTTTACTGTCTATCTCTCCACACTAGAATGGAAGCTCTATGAGAAAAGGGCCTCTGTTTGCTTCACTTTACCATCCACAGGGCCTAGAACAGGCCCTGACTGTCAGTCACTCAGTAAGTCATTATGGGCTCGATAAAAATGAGTTGTCATAAACAGAGCTGCTTCCCTCCATTCACTAATTTGTTTCGCCCTCTGCCTCTGTATGTGTGTAGGCATATGTATTAGTGGCAAAGCCTTCCAAAAAACTAGAATTTGTTTAAATCTTCAACATACAAAGAATCAGGATGTTATTGGACTTCCTTGGATGATTTTACAGTTCCCCACTGTTTTAATTTTGAATTAAATCATATTGGGGAGAGCACTATATCTTTTTACTGCTTTGGATCCCAGACAAATTTAATCCAGCCCCTGGAATTTGTGAGTGAGATGCCCAGGAGGGGAAGCAAGCCCAAAAAAAGAACAGGGAAACCTCTTCCTCTAAACCCAAGAAAAAGGGAGAGAATGTGAGCTCTTTCAAAAGACTAGACCTTCTGAAGGAAAACAGAGGAATTTCTCAGTTGATGGAGTTTCCAGCTATCCTTTGCCCAGAGCTGGGGCCCACACTGTGAGAGGAGCTGGGTTCAAAGCCCAACTTTGTGTGTGATCTTGGAGAATGTATGTAACACACTGCCTCAGTTTCCTCATCTGTACAATGAAGATGACAATAATAGTACTCATGGCTTTGTTTAGGATCACACATAACAGTCCATAAAAACACTTAACATAATACTTAGCACACGGTAAGTGCTCAAAGAGTTAGCTACTATTATTATTAACAACATAAGAATGGTCACCTACCACAGAAATAGCAATGGAAGTGTTTGTTAGAGGAGTAAATGCAGTCAGTTCAGAGAGCTGAGACTGGAACTTAATGGGGTAGGGTGGGGTGCTGCTGAACTACCCAGCAAGGACTCACAGGACAGGGATGCAGGCAAGACAAATCATTTTCTGAGCCTCATTATTAGAAACGCTGTGTCTAAATCAAGGCAGGGATAGCTGCATAAACGTGATAAACAAGAATTTGTGCAAATGAAGCTGATTCAGATTGTTAAAAATCTGGAGAAATGGAGAAATTTGGGCCCAAAAAAGAACAACTGGGATGTCATGATAGCTATGTTCAACTATTTAAAGGCCTGAGATGCCAAAAAGGAAAAAGATCTGGAATGTGCTTCTCAGAAAGGCAAAAGATGAGAGTTGTCAGAAGACAGATTTCAGTAAGACATGAGAACAAATTGTCTAATATTTAGAATTGCCCCTAAGTGGAACAAGGTGCCCCGCAGTTTAACATAGGTATATGAGCATCTCTCAGGAATGTGGCAGGAGGATTACTGTATTAGCAGGGAACTTAGACCAAATATTTTCTCCTGTAGCTTTGAGTTTCAATTCTAAAGATGTAGAAATTTGTTTATTGTATATTTCTGTGGATTAATTTACAAAATTCTTCTTGGGATTTAATTGACATCTTTTTAAATCAGTGTCAAATAAATTCCCAATATGACTGATTATTTTTTAAAAATGAACAGTAAGACATTTGAATCTATGGACAGGTTTTCTTTCTCTCTTTCTCTCAATTTCCTTTATGTAATTATTTATGGAATAATCTACAGTGGGCTAAGATACTAACCATTTCTGGTTAATGACCTTTTATTTTTATTCTTCCATTTCCATATATCAATATGTAATAAAGCCTTATTAATTAAGATTAACTTGAGGAGAGTTCATTTGAATTATTAGGAAGTCTGGCATATAGAATAATTTAAAATAAACCCAATTGAACTTTCATGAACACATAGTAAAGCTCAAATGGGCCAACCTCCGGTGTCTTCAACAGACACCCCTTAGGGAATGGTTATGAATAACTCAGAAACCTTTTAATTAGCATATCTTTGTTCATATGTAAATGTGTGCTTTTGGAATAGTTGAGGTTATTTAATACATTCTGCTGACTGAAATATTTTAAACATTCCCTTTACAATTTATTCAACCAATTGTTATTGAACAACTTCATGTCAGGGAGTGCTGGGATTACAGCAGTGAGCAAAGACAGCCCTGACTCCTACTTTCCTAGACCTCACAGCTCTACACAGAAATCAATCAGATCACGCATACACACCAATAAATTGTAAAATTACAGCTGTGATGAGGACTATAGAGGAGGGAAACATGGAGCTATAAATTATATAAGAGGGGATTTAACCTAATCTGAGGGGTTCAAGAAGGCTTCCACAGGAAAGGAATGATTGGGATAAGACCTACCAGAGAAATAACTATTAACCAACTAAGGAGAGAGGGAAGGAACTGGAGAAGATGCCAGGTGCAGTGGCTCACGCCTGTAATCCCAGCACTTTGGGAGGCCGAGGTGAGCGGATCATGAGGTCAAGAGATCAAGACCATCCTGGCCAAAATGGTCAAACCTCGTCTCTATGAAAAATACAAAAAAATTAGCTGGGCGTGGTGGCACGTGCCTACAGTCCCAGCTACTTGGGAGGCTGAGTCAGAAGAGTCGCTTGAACCCAGGAGGCAAAGGTTGCAGAGAGCGGAGATCGCATCACTGCACTCCAGCCTGGTGACAGAGCAAGACTCCATCTCAAAAAAAAAAAAAAAAGAAAAAGAAAAAGAAAAGAACAGAAACTGGAGAAGATTATTCCAAGGGAAAATGGTATCGCATGCAAAGGCCGTGTGGCAGTAGGGAGTACTGTGTATTTAATATTTTAAGAATATTAATATCTCACCAGTGTGAGAACCAGTGATGAGTGATGGAAAAGAACTCAGGGACCAGTCTGCATAGGACCATGCTAAGGACCCTCTTATTTATTCAATGAATATACTTTATCCTTATTAAGAAAAATTTGCTAAGCAAAGAAAAATACCAGTGCTACCCAAGGCCTAATTACCACAGATTTTGAGTCAGTATAATCTAAAATAATGGGTTTTAGAAGTTCCACATAACTGACAAATGACTTCAAAATTATATTTATTCCAAATGAATAGCTTCCATTAGACTAAAATTACATAAACCTACTAAGATGTGTGACCAAATGTAAACAGGGGAGAATGACATTAGGAAGAGGAAATAGAAGCCTGCTAAGCTTCCTTGATGCTTCCAGATTTTTCCCTCTGATGGCAGCTGGGGTGGAAAGGGAAATAGCTCTTCCAGCAGCCTCAATGATACTTGGAGCCAAAACAAGCTTCTAAGCGCTGTAAGGAGAGCATGCCACATGGACGAGGCCTGAGCTATAGCGAGAGATGTCAGGCTTTGTCCTTCCATGAACAGTGCCTGGGCCAGGACAACCTCGTTGTCTCCCAATAAGGCAGAGCTGGAAATCCTCATGCTAACCCCAGGCTCTCCAAATAGGGCATTTTCAGGCACAGAGTCAACCTCTGCATGCACTGGCAAACACGTCCTGTAAAAAGCACCAGCTCCGGATGGTTCTGGGTTCACGAGCAAGGTGTTCTGAAGGTCAAATAGGCTGCATTCCTCTATGATTCCAGGCTGGCAGTGGACGGGCCCTTTGGAACTGCCCTGACAGATGTATTTCACTACCCAGTGTGTGTGTGCGTTGCCGCGGGGATCGGAGTCACTCCCTTCGCTGCTCTTCTGAAATCTATATGGTACAAATGCAGTGAGGCACAGACCCCACTGAAGCTGAGCAAGGTACGGAAAAATCATTAGTTCACCCTTCCATGGATTAAAAGGTTCAATGTCCTTATATCTATCATCTGCCGATTCTTGGGGAGGATTTTAATTAACTATGAGGGATAAACTCAAGGATCCTTAACTATACTTATGTTCTTAAAAATCTCCACTCAGTATTACATTTATGAGTAGGGTTATGTCTAATCTTGTTAAAGATGACAAGACATAAATTTTATTGCTTCATTGCCATTACAGGACATGTAATTGCTCATCTCAGTAAAATATGGACAGGCTGCAAATGGCTATGTGACTGGGTGGCAGTTCGCAATATTAAGAGGCAACCTCTCCTTAGTCTCTTTAGCTTCAGACTGTGGTTGCAAGTGTACAATTCGATGTCCTCCTCTCGTGGACTCAGTCCTAACAAGAAGCCACAATTGGGATTTATTGGCCGGCTTGCTGTGGGGTGGCCATCCCGCTCTGAATCTCCCTTTTGTCATTTCCTGTATGTTTTACAACTAGATGCCTCTAGAATTTCTTTCCGTCCTTTGTCGTATCTAGACACTCCATCCGATACTTGGACCCTCTTAGGACCAGCAGCAGGCACTAGAGCAATGGTAGGCAAAGAGCCCTGATAACCCAAAGCCGTATGAATGCAGGAGGAGTGAGGATGGCAGACGAGCTTGGTGCTGGGCCGTCCTGCATATCTTCTCTGCTTAACCCTTTGTCCACAGTGTCCTCATCTATCAAAGGGAGACGCTTGACTTAACCACCAGGTCTCAATGTGTAAACCATGGGACATCTGTCACCTGACATGATCCACTAGAGAGAATTCCGTAGTCAAAGGAACTTAAGCAACGCTCCTGCAACATCCCACTCTAGAAGACATCATCCACTAGCCATTAAATAAGTTCTGCGGGGGTGGGGCGCAGTAGCTCATGCCTGTAACCCCAGCACTTTGGGAGATTGAAGTGGGAGGATCACTTGAGGCCAGGAGTTTGACGCTAGACCAGCCCGGGCCGCATAGAGAGACATCATCTCTGCAAGAAAATTAAATATTAGGGAGTTCAAAGCAGTGAGCCGTGATCGCACCACTGCACTCCAGCCTGGGCAACAGAGCGAGACTCTGTCTCTAAAAAAAGTTCCGCAGAAAAGATCCTCATTCAGTTTTGTTTCATCTATCTTTCCCAAGCTTATTTAGCTACAGAACCTTTCCTCACCTAACACCTATCAAGAATTCGTATTCTGTGAAGCATCCCAGGCAATGAGGGCTAGAAGATCTCTAAACTCGGGTCTCTGCCAACTAAGAAACAGCAGTTAACTATTTCATGAGTTTCCAAGTGACAGGTCCTTGACATACATTTTCTCATTTGAATTTTTTAATCTCCCCAACAACCTTATAAAGTAAGTAACACAAGGCCTGTTTTCCAGGTAAGGAACCTGAAGCTTGGAGAGATTAAATTGATTTTCCTGAAAAGACATGGGTAATCAAAGGCAGAATCAGGATTCAAACTTAGGTTCATCTGGCTCTTTCCATGACAAAACCAACACATGGTAGACGTGACCCCCAGCTCCTCCTGCAACCCTGGAGCAATATTTTAGGAAGACGGTGGGATTCCTGCTCATAGAATCGGCACCTGAATTTTGCTGTCATCAAAGAACATGCCTGATTCCACCCTGACTGAAATACTGCCTGCAGTTCACCTCTCTGAGCTGAGTTTCCTGATCCACATAACGGAGAAATAAGAATCCATATCCAACAGGGAGTTTTAATGCTAAATAAGACAAATAATATGGAAATATTACCATAGAAATGTGTATACAGAAATATAGATGATTATCTAAATGCTGATTGTATCTACCAAAGGTATAAATAGGTTACCAGTACTGCTATTACTAATGGCCTAGATTTATCAAGCACTGACTACCTAACAGGAAGGAAACTGGGCATTTTACATGCACTATCTCATGCCATCTTTTCGTCATACTTATCATTTTTATTCCCATTTTACAGATGAGAAAACTAAGGCCTGATCACAAAGCTAATAGAAATGACAGTCATTTTACTAAATGCTCATAATAGCTCATTCAGATAGGTAATATTCTCAATACTGATGAGGACCCTGACACACAGAGAGCTAAATAATACTAGAACTAGAGTTTGAATCTAGATCCTTCTGGCACCAAAGCTCATCTTCTTTCCTCTACGCCATAATATATTTAACAAAGCAAGCAAAACAGTGACTGGGATATTTGGACCTCACAGCAATGCTTTGTTTTGGTTCGTGATGATTTTTCAGCCACCCTAAGTTCTTCCTTCCCTCTTGCTGCCTACCAAGTAAATCCCACTCAGAGAGGTGGCTCACTGCTTCATGGTTTCCACGACACTAAAAGTCACTTCATGCTTCACAGGAAGATGGTGGTGGATAGCGTGTCTCATTTTCATTCACTCACTAATCCAACTAATATTTCAAGTCCTGCTCAGAGACATGCAAAGTCTCATTGTCATTACACCCGACTCACAATCACCTCCCCCTTCTCTTAACCTCCACCACTCCTTTGCTGCCCTACTGTTATGTCACATATCTTTCCTGTATTAAGATTCGTGAAATAATCTTATTTTCTCTAACAGACTGTGAGTTCCTTGAACATAGCTTCTCTGGATATCTTCATACATATATATATATACACATACAACATGTGATAACTATATATATAGTAAAAATATTGAATAAATCAATGAGTGAATAAATGTCTACATGTCCAAAAAGAATAAACAATGGCTTCTGTACACAATTTTCTTTAAAATTTAAGGGTATTAAGGTTTTGTTTATGTAACCAAAAAAATTCTTCAATGATTTTTACTAAATTCCAATTATTTTACTAGGAATATAGAGGAAAAATCTTATAAGAACCCCCAAAAATTTTAAAATTCATACAGGAGCCTACAAAATCTTAATTTTGCCTCCTTTCTCAGCATTCCATTGTCATTCCTGGGCTCTGCTTGTGGCGTTTCTCAAGGCTTTCAGCACTGCAGTCACCACAAAACCATAAAATAGGGACATTGATCTCTATTCCAAGAAACAGAAACAGTAGAGTAAAAAATATAAAAGCAATGTTTTCATCGCTTATAAAAATGTGAGGGACTATTTGGACACGACTCAGGTGAAAATAAGGGCAGAAATAATGTCATATGGGAGAAAGGAAGCTAAAGTGTGGAATCATAAAATAACTTAAAGGTCCTAATCTCCTAGCTTTGCATAGGACCATGAAAGTCAGTATCTGCACCTCGAGCGGAGATGATTTGTCCAAAGTCACCCAGCTTGTTCACCACTGAGTCAGGACCTGAGCATGTGTTTCTGATTTCTGCTTCAAAGTTCTTTCATGGAAGAAGTGAGGTTTTCATGCTATTGAAAGTTTGGGCTGAAAATTACAGTTCAGATCCAATTCCTTAAGCGTCTGCAGGCATGAGAACAGGTTTAGGAAGTTTCTCTCTTTTAAAGCAACTTTGTGTTGGTTTGAGTATAGCTACTATTAGGCTTATGTAACTAATATTTGTCAGGGCTACCTACATGCTTTTGAGATATAAAGACTACTCCTTCCACTAAACTGTCAGAGTCTATATAATTTTTGAAGTGCCACAGAGCAAAGCAGTACATATTTATCTAACGGTGTCTTCACAATTTTAAGTCTGGACTATAGTTTTCAGATTGTCCTCTTTTGTAATAAGGAAGGAAAGGACAACTCGCATAGGCGTTGAGAGCCAGAATTTTAAGCTTAAATGGTTAACTGCGATTAGGTGGGATTTTTTTTTCCTCCATGTGTAAAAACACTGGTTGGCATAAGGCATACATTTTTACACACAAAACTCAAGTTGCAAGTCTATAGGAAAAAATGTGCACCAAAGTTTTCTCAATTGTCACCGTTGCAAACTAGAACTTCTTTACCCTTCTCCTCTGTTGCATTATTCTAGAAAACTTCTAAGTAAAATGCAGGAGCACAACCAATAAGGCGCCTGCCACTTCCTCAGTGGGAAGCGTCATAAGTAGTACTTTCCATTTGAAGCTGATGTCTTAAAATATCTTTGTTTCTAAGTACTTTTGTTTTGAAAGATCTGGGAGGGGGCGGGGAGTGGAAGGGGAGGGGGAAGAATGGGCAGGAGGGGATTTCCCAAGAAGGCCAAATAACAAGAAGTATAATGATGGCTTGCTGTGATGAAAATGGAAAAAAGTTGTAATACATGAAAGAAATATTTTCAACGCAGAAGTAAGAGCCAAACTTCACTGAGTTGAAGGCAGCTGAGAACGCTGTGCCCCTGTGGGATGAGGGAAGGCTGAGGGTGGTTGAGAATTCTCTGTGATGCAATATGGAGGAAGCTGAATGCTGGGGGTGAAAAATGCCCTCTAGCAATAAAGTCCTCCACCTCCTGCCTAACGGGTATGATTAATTCTACATCACACTCAATTTGTGAAAAGAGCTCTTGAAAAAAAATTAGGACGGTTTGCTTGTGCAAACTGTCAAAATGATGAATGAAATAGGTGTGTATGAATGGGGAGGGAGGGGGAGGATTGCTGACATAAATAGATTGGCTTACACATTTTAGTTCTCCCTAATATCACAGCTGTGCAGTCAGGACTGAGACAACTGCCAACTGCAAGATGCGGTTCGTTTTCTTAACTGCATATGTAGTCTTCAGACTACGATACAACAGATTATACAAGAACTGAGATAATCTCATTTCTTCATAAATTGTCTTCCTTCATCAGCTCCATAATATATAACCATGATAATGGGTATTTATAGTGTGTCCCATGCAAAATGGCCTTTGGGTTCTTAACCTAATATAATAAACAGATAATTCAAATAAAAAGACAGCACGGGCCAGTGGGAACAAGGGAAAGAGGCCAAAAAAGACAAAAAATCCATACTCTACTAAAATATATTAATAAAACAAAGGAGGGCCTGCTCTCTTTTCTAGTGAATGAAAAATGCATTTAATTTAATCTGTTTACTTTGAGAAATTATTTACTTTCACTTTCCCTCACACTGGAGCTCTGACTACTCCTGGAACTGATCATCTCTACTAATCACCAAGATTCCTGCCATCAGTTGGCCTCTTTAGGAGGGGCCATTCATGCTTCTCCTAAAGAAATGTATGCTTCTTGTCTTTCCTCGGAGGGCCTCAAAAGGCCTCAGTACCCCATCAGCCCTCACCATTGCTCTGTGCGGAAGTGACCAGTATTAATATGTTTAATATCTTGGTTTATTAACCACAGATTGCGTGACTACAGTCTTCTTGCAAAAGAGTCCAATGAAATACACAAACATTTTAAAATCTCCCTTCACCTCCCTCCCCAAACTAAACACCTCCCCAACTTTGCTCCCTAAGAAACTCACCATTAAACAGTTGAATATGTCTCATTCCATTCCTTTTCCATGCATTTATATGCATATACCTATACACATTCATGCATAAATAGGGGTGTGTGTGTGTAGAAGGCAGAGGAAGTGTAATTTGTTTTGTTTTTCATTAAAGCATAACTTCGGGCACCGTCAGTGTCAATACCTGATGATCTATTTCATTTTGTTTGGTGTCTTTAGAGTATTCCATAGTGTGGATAGGCCACAATTTATGGAATCATTCTGCTATTAAATAATGTTTCAGGCCAGGTGTGGTGGCTCACACCTGCAATCCCAGCATTTTGGGAGGTCGAGGTGGGCGGAACACCTGAGGCCAGGAGTTGGAGACCAGCCTGACCAACATGGCAAAACCCCATCTCTACTAAAAATACAAAAATTAGCCGGGCGTGGTGTCAGGTGCCTGTAATCCCAGCTACTCGGGAGGCTGAGGCATAAGAATTGCTTGAACCTGGGAGGTGGAGGTTGCAGTGAACTGAGATTGCACCACTGCACTCCAGCCTGGAGGATAGCGCGAGACTCCGTCTCAAAAAAAAAAAAAAAAAAAAAAAAGAATGTTTCAGATGTTTCAGTTGTCCAACAAGGATTATTAACTGTAATTAGACCAAACGGAGGCCCAAAAGAGATCAGTCCTCAGCCACAGGGCGAAGTAGCAATATAGTCATGAAATAGTTAACATTGAGGATAATCACATTCAGAAAATGTCTTAAGGATGAAAAATTATTGACAAAGCCTGGTCTTGGCCTTATAATGGTTCACCAGAAAAACAATTTTATAACTGTATCACTTTAAACTAGAACTTTTACACATTAGGTAGGCTTATCATTAAGAAGAAATATTTCTTCTTTTATTTCTTCTTATTTGCTATTGTATTAATCCAGGATTCCCTTAACAAAAACAAAATAAAAACCAGGACAATAAGAGTGATCATTTATTGAGGAGGTAATATATTTTCTAAACACCAGTCTTTATCTTTTCACAGAGAGAAATTCTCCTTTTGGAAAATGATCCTGATTCCCCTCTATGCAGAGCTTCTGTCATCCTGCTGGTTTCAAGCTTCTGTCTGTTCTGTTCTTTCTTTTGCACAGTGTGGGGTACAGAGGCGTGCTGCCCAGCAGGAGGCAGGTGGCACTGCAAGCCACTGCCCTTCTCCTTGAGGAGGCGATGGTCAAGGTGGGCCCCTGGCTCCCTGTAAAACGCCTCTAGGTGAGTTTAGCACACACCGAGCCTGGTGAGGGGCTTCCCCTTCATGGAGCACATCTTCATGATGAATGCTGAGATTCTGCTTCTGACACTGGTGCTAGAGGTCAAGTTTGGCTTCCCTTCTCAGTGACCAGGAGTGACCAGTGGGAACACATGCCAAGCAAGGCGCATGTCCCTCTTTGCTCTATAATATACTGTCTTCATTCTTCATTCTCTAAGCTCCTCCAAATGACAAACAAGGATAGTAACAATAGCAGCTAACATCTTCTGAGCACTTACTGTGTCTGCCAGACGTTGCATTAAATGCTTCAGTAAAACATATCCTTTCATCCTCACAATAACCTCAGGAGCTATTGTTCTGTGTTTATTGCCATTTTACATACGCAGTAATCTAGGTTGGAGTTAAATAACTTTTGCCCAGTTGCACAAGTTATTTGCAACTTCTACCTGCATGGTGAAGCCAGCAGCAGTCTACCACAGCAGATGGGCTTCATAGGCTCACAACGCTGAGCTGTTGTACCATGCTACACTATATCCTAAACCTGTATTCTTGTGTACACTTTCCTTGTTTAGAGGGGTTCTGGGCCATAAATAAATACATAGGTAAATAATTTTTTTTCTGTTTCATTCTCTGGAAATTTATTTTGGATATAAAGACATACAGATTGCATTTGTGAAAGTGCCCTCTGCCTGTGTTCATGGATATCTATTCAAGATACGGCACAAGTTTTGGAGATGTAATCGCCTGAAAGCATCCAACTTTGATTAGAGAGTCTGAGCTCTCATAGTAACACAGATTGGTAGTGCTTCTCAATTCATTTTCTGAAACTGTTTATCAAAATTTAGCACAGTTCCATTTCCTACTGGCCCCAGACCTCTTTGACCTGGTCCCTATGTGCTGCTGAAGAATTCTTAAAGAGAAGCCTTGGCTTGGGAAAACATGAAAATGAGAAGGGACACACAGAGAGCCCAAACTTGTGACTGTCGCTCAGACCCAAGCCCCTTGCAAATGGACATGGCTGAGTTTGGGCTGATCATTAGCGCTTGGGAATGATGTGAAACTAAGGTCTATGACGGGCCACATGCACACAGAAACCCTCAACGCCATGACAGTCCCAGAGTGGTCTCCCAAAACATCTAGGCATCCACTATATCTACAAGAATGTGGCTGGGCACGATGGCTCATGCTGGTAATCCCAGCGCTTTGGGAGGCCGAGGTGGGTGGATCACTTGAGGTCAGGAGTTCGAGACCAGCATGGCCAACATGGTGAAATCCCATCTCTACTAAAAAATAAAAACTTCGTCGTGCATGGTGGCACATGCCTGTAATCCCAGCTACTTGGGAAGCTGAGGCAGGAGAATCACTTGAACCCGGGAGGTGGAGGTTGCAGTGAGCCAAGATCCCACCATTGCACTCCAGCCTGGGCAACAGAGAGAGACTCCCTCTCAAAAAAAAAAAAAAAAAAAAAAGAAAGAAAAGAAAAGAAAAAAAAGTGTTGGATGAGTCCTGTAAAAAAAAATAATTTTATTACTATGAAAGTTCAGAACTTTTGTTATTTTACTGAGAATGACTTTCTATTTAATAAAATCTTTTAAAGTAAACTCAGGTATTTTTGGTCTCTGAGATCAGCTATGAAATTCTGAAAAGGCATGCTTTCTACAGGTAGCTGATTTCAGGGTTGTTTTATTTTTGGAGACTAAGGTGGGGTGAGCATTGGAAAGCACAGATCACAGAGTTGTAGCCTATTGTTTGGGATACTTGGTCTCTCATTGACCAGGTCCTTTCTCATGGGCGAAATGCAGACTTGGAACTCTTATGTCCCTTCCCAGTGAGTGTCCCCCACCATTAGAAAGATGAAAGAAAGTCAAAGTAAATACCTTTTGCTTCTGTTCAAAGTCCCTTTCTTTCTTTTTCTGCCTGAAACACTTCTACTGAGCCTATCCATTTTTCCTCCATAGCCTCTTACACCAAAGCTGCCCAGTGTCACTTACAAGTCAATTACGGAGGGAAAAACACACAAAGCCATTACGAGGAAGCAAAAAGTATAAAAGGCTTGACAAACCCTAAGGACGCTGACATGCAGCTAGGCCACGAGAAAGTAAGGAAGGATTTCTATTTGAAAAGATAAAGTTTCATGTACGGAGGAAGCTAAGATGGGGATAGTTTTCAAGAAAGGACGACTGGGACTAGATTTGAAATTGGAGGATTTTTTTATAAAGCAAATGTTCTGGTTTATTATCCATCTATGAATGTGTTTTAAGCATGTTCCTTAAAGAATGGGAAAGAGAGAAAATAAATCAATGATATTTGCTCTATGCCCAATGCCAACTCTGAGATGAAACAGGCTACCAAGGCCAGGGAGGAGGGGGTCATGCATAGGTGAGCACTGCATTAATTCAGCCAGTAGATTTTTCATTTCCACCCAGAGCAAAGCAAGGCAAAATGAAAGCTAAGGTTTTCAAAGAGTAATTTAGATTAGGCACAATACAAAGCGAAAAGAAAGCAGATAGTGGTATTCATCACCAACCTCGAATATAAAATCCACCCCTAACTGGTCTCCTTTCCTCCTCCCCCACCCTCCATACCCTGGGTCTATTCTCAATACAGCAGCCAGAGAGATCCTGCCACCTGCTGCGGGCCATGGAACTCCCTGCTCGCCAACTCCCTGTGCTTTCCTGTCTCTCGGAGGGAAAGTCTACAACGGCCCCAAAGCCCTACAACGCCATGGCTCCCCCAGCCCTCCCCTCGCCCATCTCCTTGCTCTCCCCACCCTCTCTGGGCTCCAGCCACACAGGCCTCCAGGCTCTTCCTGGAAAGGTCTCACTCAGGACCTCCGCACTTCCCACCATCTGCATCTGCACTTCCCACCTAAGCATTTGACTCCCTCAACTTTTCCAGGTCTTTGCTCCAATGTCCCCTTCTCATGAAGAGGGGACATGAATCTCCACGAATTGATGGTTCATGTCCATCCATTACTGATTCAACAAATATGTGTTGAATGCCTCCTATGTCTCCAGACTGTTCTACTCCCTGGAATTATAAAAGTGAACACAAGAGGCCAAAAACAAGAGAGGGCTCATTGAGCCCCCGTTTGACCATTCAACTTAATATTGCAACACTTCTAACCCGCCTGGGGTTTCTGCATGCACTTCTCACCATCTGACATAACCTATATTCTACTTATCTATCATCTTCCTTCTCCCTCTAAGATGCAAATTTTAAGAGGACAGCAATTTTTTTTGGCCCTGTCTTGTTCACTTGTATAGTTCCAGAGCACAGAAGAGTCTGGACAGGTAGGAAGCACTCAATACATATTTGTTGAATCAGTGAACGGATGGATGAACGTGAGCCCCTTGCTCATGGGGATTCAGAGGGTGTCACAAAGGGAACCCCGGCTTAGCTCTGCCTGGAGAGGCTGTGCAGAGATCATCCCTAGGAAGAAATAAGTGTCAGGAAAGGAAAGGCAACCCTCTCTCTTCCTGAGAAAAGCAGGTCATTGTGCTTAGAGACTGAGGGATTATTTGTCCTGAAATTAGTATCTTAAGTCCCCTTGTGAACAGGAGCTGTCCAACAAATATGTGGGCCCAGTTTTTGAAAGAAGAGGCCTTATTCTCAGCATCTTTTACTCTTACAAATAATTAATATTATAAAGTCCTGCCTAAACATGAAGAGAATAGACAAGATGTTTAGCTTTGAGATAAACTTTTTTATTTTTGTCTCATGAATTTGATCTATTCATTAAATCTCATTTATATCTCTGATTATATGATCGTGAGCTTACAAGCTGGCCGGCAGAGAGGGAGAGAAGAGAACATTGATCACTGGATGAGGTATTTCCAGGTGGGGATTTACCAGGCAGCAGCTGGAATCAAGACCAGCCCTCATGGATATTGTTAAGCCATACAGATGTCTCTTTGGGGAGAAGGCACGAGAGAGAGAGGTGTGGGCAGCAAGGGGTGGGAGTGTGAGAAAAATGGGAGAATTAATAGATTTATCTCCTGTGGTTTCTTCTAGATGCAATTATTTGAAACTCGCAGCACAAAAACTAAGCTTTTATTTTAGCAAACCCAAGCTACTTTTTGTCACATGCCATTTGCTTAATACCGAGAGTTAAAAAAATAATTCTTCCCAGTCATAATTTCATTATAGCAGTTGACACACAGGCACAGCCGCCACCCACCAGCTTTCTTGGACACCGATATGTTTCACTGAGAGGAAATTTCTGGCCTGTGTGACTTGATTCTGAAATTACCATAATCTCCACTCTCCAGAGGCCGTAGCTAGTGAAGTGGATTAGTGTCCAAGCCTTTGGGGTCTCTGGAGAAGAAAGTTCAAATCCAGAGCTTAGGTCATAAGTAAAGATGAAGGGGTTGGTCTAACGGTTTATCCCCCTTTGGGAGCAGTGAAAGGCACAGCTAGTTATGATTATTAATCTTGTTCAGAAGCAGCACAGCCAGAAATGTGGTGAGTTGATCCTCATCCAGAGAAACTGGCACGGCCCACAGGCTCCTGACTCTCTGAATTCACTCTGGGCTTTTTCAAACACATTGTGAATTTTTTCAAAAGAAATCACAGTGTGACTGTTTGTTCACTGACACACACAAAAAAAAGCATGTTATTTTGCAGAAGTGCCCATTTGGGCTCAAATAATTTAATGGAGATAAAGTAGTCTGTGATTATCAGCACATATGAAAAGAGAATAGATCCGTTCACTTGCCTTCTCTCTTGACAGGTGTATTTCTACTGGATTTGCCGGGATGCAAGAGCTTTTGAGTGGTTTGCTGATCTCTTACTCTCCCTGGAAACACGGATGAGTGAGCAGGGGAAAACTCACTTTCTGAGTTATCATATATTTCTTACCGGCTGGGATGAAAATCAGGTACTGATAAGACTCTGAGAATAAGCAATATTGCTGAACTCATCTAATAGCAATGAGGAACAATTTCAATAATGAGCTATGTAGCACTCTGATAGCATGACAGAATTATTTTTATGTTCTTAAAAGGGAAAGGAGAATAAAATAAAACCAGATTAGCAAGAGTGATTCAAGTTGTAACAATCAAAGAACCAAAAAAAGAAGCTACAGTTAACTTGCTGAGGAATAGAAAGGGTCAGACAATGGAAGACAATCCAGAGGCTGGAAATCCCAAACAAATTTGCATTTGTCCCTTTAAAAGTGACATCAAATGAATATTACTGATTGGCTGTATCATCTTGTTGAGTTCCTGACTGGTTCTGTTTCTGTGCCTTGAGCTGTTCAGAGCTAAGCAAAAAAGATTCCTAGGTGTTTACATTCAACATTTTGTATTGTGAAGTATGTGAGCATCTATAGAAAATAATTATTATGAATACATGATTTGTCCAGAGTTTGTTCTCTTAAGGTGTTCTTAGAAATTGTGTGCACGTATGTTTATTTACCTAAGATGAAGATGATCTTTTGTTTTGGCAGGTGTTCTGCAGTATATTGTATTAATGAAATATTAAGATTGAATTTACCAAAAATAATGTATACCAAAATATTGACTATGGTAGTATTTCAATGTTGATACTATTGAATGATAACTACTACATTGTAATCCATTTTAACTCCTCAAACAGGGGAATTAACAACGAAGTGATTACTAGGTTACACAATATATATTCTAATCAGCAGCTATTATTGATATATACTTTTAAGGAAAGTGTATTTGAGCCTGGGAGATTGACATTAATCACTACATTTACAAATGAATGCTCTGTGTATGTACATCACACATACACACACATGCGTGCGCACACACACACACACACACACACTGGCCTTATAGAACATCACTGTAATTTGACTCTGCTTCTGCAAATGAATAAGACTCTGCTAGAAATTCAGTAGCTTAATGAATTTTTATGGTCTTATTTGCAGTCCTTCTTAAATATTTAATCCTTTGGGATAATTTGAAATGTAGCTTTCTTGGGAACTAGGCTTGAAACATCTTAATGAATTATATAGTGTTAATTATGTTTTCCAAACAAACACTTTCCTTATTCAAGTGGGATTTTTGACTGATGAACAGTTTGGTGAAGTAGAGACAGCTTCTGTCTTCTGCTCTCAAGTACTGTGCCTGCTCTTCTACTCTAAGGTGCATTGATCCCAGTGTGCACCTAGGTATTCCTTGCCAACTGGGAGCTGTGGGACTGAGGTTCTCATAACTGAGAACTGAAGTTGATTTGGCGACAACACAATCCTGCCCCCTCCCGTCTCTACTACTTCCAAGAATATGCTATAAAACATATATTTTTTTTCTAAACACAAGTAGATTAAAATAGATGTCTTACATTTTTGCCATGACATGTTGAAAATTATTTCGACTCCTAAATTTCAGGCAGAAAAATCACTAATTTCCACATTTAAAGGAAAAATAATTGGTGCATTCTGTCGGGAAAGAATCAAGAGGCTGTTTTAGAAATACCCAATTGTTAAACTGAATTCAACAACCTCAAAGTGGCAAAATGACAAGAACAGAAGGGACAGATGGAAGAGGTATTGTGAAGGGTAAATCAACAGAGTTTGGAGACTAATTGAACATTGGGCTGAGAAATATGGGACAAATATCATTCCAAATGTTTGAACATCAGTGATTGGCGGTACCACAAGTGTAAGTAGGGAAGGCCCTTTTTGTGTGTGAAATGGTGCCCGAACTTCTCAGCAAGGACCTTAAGACCCTTCCCAGCCTGACTCCCACTCACTAGCTGTGTCCCACCCCCATCGGTTTCCTCTGGCACCAGAGCCACCAAAGGATGCGTGTTCACCCATCACACTGTGCACAGTCACACGTCCATGGCTTTGCTCGTTCTCTCCCCACACCTGGCGTGTCACTTAACACCCTCTGCCACTGTTCCCCACCTTCTTTTTGCTCGGAGTCCTATACCCCAACTCTTTTCCAGCAGTAGCTCTGCCACCTGGTGTCAGACTTGCCTGCTCACAACTTCCTACGACCTGGATTTCTTTTTATATTTTCTTTATTTTTTAGATTCAGAGGGTGCGTGTGCCCATTTGTTACATGGGTATAGCGCATACTGGTGGGGTTACCCATTACCCAAACAGTGGATATCATACCCAGTAGGTTCTTTGTCAACCCTCACTCCCTTCTCACCCTCCCCCCCTTTTGGAGCCCCCAGTGCCTGTTATTCCCATCTTTATGTCCATGTGTGCCCATTGTTGAGCTGCTGCTTGTAAGTGAGAATATAGAGTATTTCGTTTTTTGTTTCTGAGTTAGTTCACTTAGGATAATGGCCTCCAGCTCCACCCATGTTGCTGCAAAGAACATGATTTCATTCTTTTTATGGCTGCATAGTATTCCACAGTATGTATATAACACGTTTTCTTTGTCCAGTCAACTGTTGATGGACACTCAGGTTAGTTCCATGATTTTGCTATTGTGAGTACTGCTGTGATGAACATATGAGTCTTTTTTATATAATTGGCCTGGATTTCTGAGATCTAACCTACCATTGTCTCCTGACCTGTTGGGACACTTCCACTATTTTCAGCTGAACCTCCCTAGATTCAACTACTTTTTTAGACTGGAGAGAAGGTCAGCCAGGAAAGTCAGGCTTACAGTGGGAACCTGGGGCATGAGTTGCACCCAGCAAGGTTGTTAGCCAAACTGGTCAGGGTCAGGATGAGTCAGAGGGTGAGAATGAATAGAGCACCACATAGGGGTCTAAGGGATGAGCACTGGGAACACAGATCCCCAGAAGTGAGAAGCAAGGTAGCTACCAGAATGCAGAAGGGGCTAAAATAAATGACAGCAACTTAAAACATGATCATGGCCAGGTGCAGTGGCTCATGCCTGTAATCCCAACAATTTGGGAGGCCAAGGCGGGTGGATCATGAGGTCAGGAGATCGAGACCATCCCGGCTAACACAGTGAAACCCTGTCTCCAATAAAAATACACACACAAAAAAAATTAGCCAAGCATGGTGGTACACACCTGTAGTCCCAGCTACTCGAGAGGCTGAGGCAGGAGAATCGCTTGAACTCAGGAGGTGGAGATTGCAGTGAACCGAGATCACGCCACTGCACTCCAGCCTGGGTGACACAGCAAGGCTCTGTCTCAAAAAACACAAAAACATACAAACAAACAAAAACAAACAAACAAAAATGATCACAAGGGATTATGCTGTGGGCTGTCATTTATTGACCACTAGCTACATGACGCCTGGATGGAGTTGCTTAATTCCAAGGCAAATGATTAGGCACAGATCTCCAGCCAAGCCGCCTGCCAGGCTCTGGCCACCATTTTCCGCCTGCCAGGCTCCACATCCTCCCAGCACTTGAAACTGGACAGTATACATCACACCGTTTAAACCCACTAGGCAGGTCTCATTGTAAGATGCAGTTTCTTCCCAGACATTTCATACCACTTTAATCTGGCAATGCCCTTCTCAACTCCCCAGGAGCCAATGTTAAGTGAAAGGGGATAGCAGGTAGACATTAATTGTTGAAAAGTTTGGCAGGAAAAGAAGGAAGTCGTTTAGTGCTTGCTTTCTCTTAACCACATTTACTATATTACTTTCATCCTTTTAAAGGAAAATATTCTTTCTAGGTTAATGTTATTGCACATCTACTAGGTATAAAGAGGCACTTGGTTCCAACAAGGCCTGATTCAGACATAAATGAGATATGATGCTTGCCCTAAAGTGCAGCATTGGAGACATCTGCAAATAGTGATAAGCATTGCCAGCCCTGTACACATTTTTAATTAAATCTACAAATGAACATGATTACTTTATTCTTTATTTATAGAAGTCTTATTTTTTTTTTCTAAATGTCATCTAATGCCACAAATTTACTTTAGGCTCTTCACATAGCTTTACACTGGGACGAAAATACTGACGTGATTACAGGCTTAAAGCAGAAGACCTTCTATGGGAGGCCCAACTGGAACAATGAGTTCAAGCAGATTGCCTACAATCACCCCAGGTAAGGCAAGCTCTTGCTCCTCTCCCTGCCAGGCTCTTCTCTGGAGAAATGCAAGGGCTGCTGGAGTGAAAAGTTAATCTGCAGTACCGTATATCTCCATTAGAGACAAAACATCTACCTTAGAAAAGGTGATCAATGGTATATTTCAGGGGCCACAAGCCTCTCCTGAACTGGCTTACAACCTCTGACAGTTATTGATTATGTTGCAATTTTTCACACTTAACCTCCATTTAAAGATGGTATTTCTTCAACTACATATGCTTTCAAGACATCTTTGGTGGGTACAGTTGATCTCTAATTACCCAACTGGAGAATTCACTCCTGTCCAACTGTACACTATCTAGCATGTCTAGCAAAAGCAGAGAGAAAATGTTAGAAGACAAAGCAGGGATTTCGGGTGGTGGTTAAGAACCCAGCATCTGGCTGTAAATCCTGGTTCTGCCTTTACCATTGGTTGACCTTGGACAGGTTATCTACCCTGGTACTGACTCTGTCTCCTCCTCTGCAAACTGCAGAAAATAATAGTGCTTTCCTCCTAAGAGTCTGCAAGGATAAAATTAATGAATGCATGTAAGAGGCTTAAAACGGTGCTTTGTATGGAGTTTGCAAGAAGCACTAGCTGCTATCACTGCTATTATTATTTTTATTATCGTTTCCATTATTACTATTATTATTATCATTATATAATAAATTTCAATATAGAAAAGCAAGAATACTTGTTCTGGGGTCACAAAACTGAAGTGAAGCCTGCACTTCCTGGTTCTAGAAGTTACTGGCTGTGTGACCTTGGAAGAGGCAGCTTATTTGAGCTTTCGCACCCCATTGAAAAATATGGATGATAATATCCATTCACAGTGTTGTTTTCATAACGTAAATATACTTGTAGTATGGGGCACTAATGCAAACAGTTATCATTGTTATGATGTCTCCTAAGTCAGTCTTTGCTTTGAACCTTCATTGTCTACGGCTCTTAAAAGTCGGCATGTCCTAATATTGTCTTCATTAAAGAACAGTTCCCATATTTGAGGAAAGATCTGAAGGCAGTGAAGGAGTGTGCCATGTGGGCAACTGGAGCATGTGCCAAGGCCCTGAGGCAGGAGACATCATTCCTGGCATGATCCCAGAACAGAGGAGGTGAGAGGGAGAGCAGCAAGAGCCATGCTGTAGGAGAGGTAACAAAGACAGCTGCGAGTCATTGTAAAACTTTGGATTTTATTCACACAGGGGAAGGCACTTACAGGTTTGAGCAGTAGAGTGACGTGGGATCACTCTGCAAGAGAATGGAACGTGAGGGGCCTGGGACAGAGGTGGAGAGGCCAGAGAATTCAGCAGTGGTGGCAGTTTGGATTAGGGAGCAGCAGAGGAGGTGATGAGAAATGGTTAGATTCCGGAGTCTTTGCGGGTTGAGCTGAATTGACTATGGATGGGATGTGAGGTGTGACCCAAGCTATTCAATAGAGTGGAATCCCCACTTACCATATGGTGATGACTTTAAGAGGAGCAGCTGGTTGGCAGACATGGGGTGTCAGGAGTTCAGTTTGTGACATGTTTAGCTTATGATGCCTGTCATACATCCACGTGGAATTTTGGAGTGGGCAGATGAATATAAGAAGCAAACGTTCAGGGGAGAATTTCAGCCAGAGGTGTGAGCACATGGACTGTTTGGAGCCGTGAAACTGGATGAGATGACCAGACAGGCAGATATAGATGGACAAGAGTTCCAAGAACTGCACTGTTGGATGGTCAGGGAACAGACACTGTATTGACAGGTCACAGAGTTTAATACGTGACACTCATATCTGCCTTAATAATCATGCCCCTTGGGTCTTCTATACCCTGACCTTCTTTCCATCCACTTTCTCTGTATTGCACCAGTAAGAGTACATTAAAGCCCACTAAGGTACCTCTGACTGCTTCCATATCCCCGGCGATGTTCCCATTGTCTTGCATCCTTCAAAGCCTCAGTCCTTGCATTTCTGCCTCGTGGGCTTCCTGCAGAGACAGCATGCTTCATTAAACTCTTTGTACTTCCTTCATATTTGTTCTGCTTCACAGAGTACTTCTCTGGTGAATATTATTTATCTTATGGTCATTTTGGCTGCTCCTTTTTAACATTTTTTTCACACTCTTTCTGTACCAGAAAGATGCCATTTTCTTTTTTATCAGTTGTCATGGAATTCATTAGACTCCCTGGACCAGCTATTTGAAGGAGGTTAATGAGGAGGGAGATGTGGAAGGAGTGATCAGGTAGCTGTCCAAGATTCATAACCATCTGATTCCAGTCACCATCTTGCCTGTGAAGTTACTCAGACCTCAACTGCCCTGTGCTCTGTGAGACCCCTGCCAACCCTCTCTGCACCCTGCACCCAGCAACCTGTAGAGAAACAGGAGTGTTTACACCCTGGGAAGAGATGGTTTGAAGGCATGCTTGTGGGGATTACTCCTGACCCACATTCAGCCAGGGAGTAAAGGCTTTCCAGCAGGAGACCCCAAGAAAAGCATCACTTTGAGCATAGGGTTGGGGAGGGAGGGCGTGGACCAGCTGCACAACCTCACAATCTTGCTCTTGCCCCACGGGGCTCATTCTGATGCCTCATAAGCTGTGGCAGTGGCCTTGGAGACTTTTCCAGGTGTCACTTCCTGACACCTCCTTGCTCCATTTTGCTTCTTGCCCTGACTCCTGCTGACATATGGCCTAGAATCCAGTTCTGGTTCTACCTTCTCTCCAAATGAGGTGCTTCCAACCCATCCTGGCTTCTGCAGCCACAGAATCCGGTTCCTCTGAGCTCCTGCTCCACACCCAGCCCTGGCTCCAGGGCCCCCAGTGCTTCTGAGTCTAAGTCACCACACCCACCTCACACCCACCCAGAGGAGAGACGAGATCATTTCATCTGCCATTTCCTTGAAAAGATTGTAGGTAGAAACTAACAAAATATTAAAAGCTTATATGAGAAAACTCAAGGGGTTTTTGTTGCTATTTTCTCCTTTTGGGAAAAAAAAAATATATATATATATATATTCACTGATAAATGTTTTACGTTCGGTTTTCAGTCATCATGGAATAAATGTTCTCACTTCGCAGGCTTTTGACATGGACATCTATATCTTGGTTTTCAGTTCTTCTAGATAGTCTCAGTCTTTATTAGGATTGTCCCTTTTTGACATCTCATATGGTGTTTGTTTGTTTATTATTTATTTATTTATTTATTTATTTTTACACACAAAGCTTGCAGCCCAGTGCGGAAGGCCTTTAAAACCAAACTATTTAATTATCTCCCTTCCCTCAAAAAGGCATGAGCCAGGAACACGGAGCATCAAGAGACCAAGGATAAAACTGGGTTTGCACAAACTCTGCCTAGAAAATTATGTAACTCAGTGCTGAGAAGTGGGCCTGTCCAATTTTTTCGCAGGGAGTAAAGAGTAATCAGTTTTAAGGTGGCAAAACTGTATTACCATCACTTTCCCTGTTGCTCATACCTTTCTAGAAGCCATAATCAAAGTGAAGTGCGGAAACGTACTTAATGCTCAATTGTATTTTGCAGCACGGTAGCTATGCAAACTCTCTCTCCTTGATGGATGACTTCATCTCTTCCAGAGTAGACGAGGCCCCCAAGGTTTGGAATCACTGAATCAAACCTCTACAGCATACTTCCCAGTCCCAAATTTTTTAATATCATATTTGTAATAGCCTTAGACTCTAGAACATGGTAACTTGTTATATAGCTTCAAGCATCCATGTCATTAATATTAGACACATGAAGGCAAAGTCAATGATTTTGTCCCTGGAATGCCAGATCCCTGGGAAAAGACAAGCCTTCGGTCAAAAGCTTAGCACCACCCTTTCAAAAGGCTTTTAAAATGACCTCCTTAAAATAATTTTGTTTTCTGCTGTGTAAAAGGAGATTTATGTTTAATGAAGCTTTTAATGAAGAAATCTCGGAAAGAGAATGCCAATAAAATCTAATTTTTAAACAAGAAAATCTAATATTGAGAAGTATTTCAATATCCTGGCCTTTGTCCAGATGTAAATGAAACACACAATCCAATTACTGTTCTGCACAAAGGACAAAGTAACATTAATTTTCCTCGGGATGGTTATTAAAGAGATAAACAGTATGTTTTCCCCTTATTATGTCAAGGATATGTTTGTTCCCAAGCCTGCCTGGCTACTCTTACAAGACGGTTCTGTCCTGTCGTTAGCTCATATCTTTTGGCAAAGATGGGTCAGAAGAAATTGGTGGATTTGTTAGTGGCCTCAGAAAAGGTTCTTTGTTCTTGAGGGCCTTTGAAGTAGGCTCTCAACCATTTCTATTCATCAGCACGAAGCCGAGGATTCTCCGGACTTACTCTTTCAAAAATATTTACCTGTTCACTCAAAGCTGGAGTTTGTTCTTGTTCTAAGAAGGAGTTAAATCAAAAGAATAAAGTGAAGAGGGGCAAAAAGATTTTTTATAGAACATGAAAAACAGGACCAAAAATAAAGCTTGAAGGGAAGCAGATCAAAGAGAGTAGTACAAGCTATAAAGGAACCAGAAAATTGCAAAAATAACAGTAATAGAGAAACAAATTGATGGGCATCAAAATGAATACAAATAAGGGAGAGAGAAGAAAAATTAAAAATAGATCAAAGGCTGACAGAAAATAGAAAAGTGTGTTCTATTGTTTTTGTTTGTAATTAATTTTGGTAATTATATTAGCTATATTACAAAAACACAAGTATAGTTTTGAAAGACAGTCAACAAATATTAAGTGGATGCATTATAAGCCTTTTATTGATATATTCAAATTCACATGCATGTGAAAATTGTATAGTATTTCAGTTAGATAAAGCACAGAAAAGTACTATGAAACAAAAACATTAAAAATTATTCTCCCAATTAAAATATAGTAGGCTAATTAAATACATTCATTGCCATCTATGTCTTACTAATCTAGAGAAAGGTATCTTTTTCAAAAATGGAAACTGTATTGCATTTTTTGTAAACATTGTCAATACGTTCACAAGCTTTAGGTAAATGTTCAGAAAATCAGGAAAATATTTCCAAGAAGGTAGACAGAATGAAAATAAAAATACCGTTGTCACATCTAGTTACTTTTTTGATAAACACACATTGTACGGATACTCAGCTTTCTGAATTTGTGGATCAGTTGCTTTTAATTAATTGAATAAAATAATTTTCCATAGGCCTTAAATCTTTGATCTTACCCTTCAGATAATATTTGTAGTTTTCTACTTTTGACCTATCTGTTAATAACTTCACCACGCCTTTTAGGTGTAAATTTGATGTAATTAATTACCATAAAAACTTTAAAGTTTGGTCATTTTTTTTTTTTTTTTTGTAATTTCAGTAGACGTATTTCTTTTAACTTTGAAGAAAAAAAAATAGAAGAGTACTACCATTTGTTAGAACAGTTTAACCCAACCTAACGATGAAGAAAGGTGTCAACTTACCATATGATTGGGGGCTTCTAATCCATATTGCATGAATGTATTTTAGACCACCTATTGTTTTCAGAAACGTGAAAATACCTTTATACTAAATTGAGTAAATGTGTCCATCTGGACCCACATTTGCTTGTGTATGCACCCTTCAATTCTCATTTGTATGTGCATATGTGCAAAATGTTTTAAAATGATATTTTTAAGAAATTAGCATTCTGATTATAGCATACAGGGCCCTTTATCTAACAGGATATCCTAAACATTCATTATGTGACTAAAATGTTCAGAATACTCAAAGAAATAGACTTAAATGGAAATACAACACATGATAAGTTACAGCTTCATGGGAAAAATAAAGACACCATAAACTTATGATGAGGAAATTGTCAGCATATTCCCATAGTTCCTTCCCATGAGAGGGCATCAATCTCTCTGGTTAGACCCAAGTGAAGATTCAATAAAAATTGCTGAAATTACTCCATTTGTGGTAGGGGGGATTGGAGAGATGGGTGAGTACAGGGTGGATTTATCATTATACTGCAAAATTTCTTCAATGGCATTACCTATCTATCAAATTATTAGTTTGGCAAAATATTTGGTTACTTATGCATGAAGGCATATATATGTTACTGTTTTATTGGGGTGGGGAAGGGTTGGCAAAAATGGCTCTACCATTCCCTGGGATCGGATGCTACAAGTCATCTGCTTTCATTTTTCTTCCCCATTTGACCATAAGCTTCTCAAGGGCTTATAGCTATAAGCAACTTTATCTATGCACCTCAGAGCCTAGCAAAATGGCCAGTATGTGCAAGTGGCAGCACCATGAGACCAATGAGGGAGCTGGGACAAGTGTCCGAACAGCACAGTTCTGGCTGCCAAAGAAAACAGAGCCTGTGGAGTGTGGGCAGGAGCAGAATCACAACAGTGAGCCTGGTTAGGGACATCTGCAGCAACTCATGAGCAACTGAGTAATTAGGACACAGAGAAAAGTAATGTCGTAGGCTGCTACAAATTAACTGGGAGATAGGTTAAAAAAAAAAAAAAAGCTGGCCAGCACAATTATCATCTGCGGTTCTGAAAAAAGAAGGTGTTGTACAAAATATAATTATGTGATGAATCATTTGGAGGCATTTCTAATGAAAAACACTCACTAGAAAGGATTAACCAGAAGTTGTGTCCATTGTCTGATACAGAGTTTGTAGCTCTCATCTTCTTTCTAAGCCTCCATAAATCCACGGGAAGCTTCTGTTTATCGATTTTATTTGCAGAATGCACTCAGGGTATAAAGTAATTTGCTTTTTTTTAAATAGGGTTTAGGGTCTGCCCCTACAGGGTTATAACTTACCAAGCATAAAAGCCAACACATAAAAACAAACATACAATTTAAGGAGAGAAGGGCTCACGGCAGCAGAACCTGGGAATTCAGCGAGGTGGTGGGATCACTCCCGGGCGCACCCACACGCCCATATATCTGCTGGGCTGAAATCTCCTGGTGGGTGATATTTTGGATGCCTTTCATGCATGGCATCGCTGAACTGTTTTTGAAAAATGCACCAACCCCACAGAGAAGAGCACAATAGTTATTTAGCAGACATAGAGAGGGAAAGGAGAATTTTCTTTATTGTTTATCAGAGCTAAAAATAATGCTGTGAATGTTAGCCATCTTTGCAGCTTGTGTAAAATTTGTCCTTTTCTCATCAAAGTCAGCAGCCCAGACTGATCAATGCCATTAACATTGTCCCCGATCCAGCTCCCCCATGCGTGTGCAAGCTCTGTGGCTTGCAGGCTGTAAACTGAAGAATAGCACCTTGCGTTTTTATACTTCTTTTGCGGAGAATCTCTATTTAATTCCAAGCGATTGTGGGTAATTAAATTTTATAGAAGAATTTTTTCTTTACCAACCCCATTAGGGTTCTGTTGCACTTGTCCGTTGCCTCATAAAAGAAAAAAAAAAAAGGGAAGCTGCCACATCTGTCCCTTAAACACTTGGCTTGGATTCTCTGCCCTGTGATTCACAGTATGCATTTGTGACAAGAAGTTCTCCATACTTGGAGTCACAAATGCCGAGAAGAGTAAGCCAGGCAAACTGCTTGTGCTGTCTGTGGGGACAGTGATGCACAGAGAGCCAGTGAAGGGCTGACCTTTCCACCTTAGCAGAAGGTAGATAATAAATGGCCTTTGTGAGACTTTTTGGTGATTGCATCACCACGGCGGATATGGCCCCTGAGTAAAGTGTGGACTTAGCTGTGCAGTGTGATAGCCACAACTTCAAAAGACTCAGGGGAGCTGTGAACTGCTGGGGACACCAGGAGAACACCAGGCAGCAGCAATCAGAATCCTTTGAAATGGAGTCTTAAAGGCAGAGCATCAAAGGGCACCATCAGGTCTGCAGTTACTGTTGCTGCAAACGAAAGAGCAGTCTTAGCCCATTGGAGTGGGCCAGTGGGCAATCTCTTTGGTGACATCTACACTAATGGAAAAATATCACCACCCATAACAGCATCTTTGAAAATAGATGCAAGGACACCTCTGGGCATCAGACACAAAGCAAAGCTGTGACTCCTCACTGGGAAGGGTCTCGCCTGATCCATCTACCATTCAAAATGTTTCAGTCCAGAGCTCAAAAATCTAGTGCTGATCTCAGTAAGTCTACATAATCACCTCTGTGTTAACACCCCGCACCACCTCTTCTGTTCAGCTTCACGGAGCAGGCAGACACCAATAGCCATCGCGTGGGAAAATAATATCAGGAAGCTAGCCATTCCTGAGAGCACACCATGTGCCAAGCACAGGACCAGCGGCCAGACCTGCAATGTCTTGCTTGATCCTCACAGAGATTCTCGGAGCTAGATTCTATAATTCTCCCCATTTTATAGATGAGAAACTGGGGGCTTTGTGAAGGTAATTGACATGCCCAAAGTTACCCAGCAACGAAGTGGTGGAGCCAAGAGCACTCTTAACCATTGCCTTTTATTTCCATAAACACCTCAAAATCTCTTCATTAAGCCATAAACTCATACCTTTCCATGGGAAATATTTTCTGAAAAATTACTTTCTCAAATTTAGCCATGGGAATGATTTCTTTGAAAGTAGTACTGCTACATTTTAAACATATTGTCATTTGTAAATTAAGCCATTGATAAGTTCCTTTGAAGCTGGAGTTTGAAATGCAGGGGAACCATCAATTTCTACTGTGGATGTGATGGTCCTGGAACACACAGTTAAAATGTGGCTATGACACATGGCAGAGAACCATGTTAACATATGAGCTAAGAAGAACTAGGCTCTATAGGCACTTCCCAGCAAGATCCATGTCTGAAGAAACAGAGATGGTATAGTGAGCTGGTCCTGAAGCCCAAAGAATGTCTTGATGACAGTGTTTCTCAAAGTGAGGCTCACAGGGCGATCTGCCTCAACACCACCCGAGATCCTCACTAAACATGCATTCCTTGGATTCGAGCCTAGGAATCTACATTTCAACAATCTGCCTAGATGATTTTATGCACAGTAAAGCTTGAGAACTTTTGATCCACACTAGAGTAACTAATTCAGCTTATACTAGAGATTGGAAAAAATGCTACAAAGAATAGTAATATTCAAGACAAGAGAAAAAAGACATGGTCTCTAAAAATCTCTATAGAGACTGATGCACCCCAACTTCCAGAAACAACTTTGAAACCCTGTGCAGATGTGGTGTTTATATGTAGGCTAAGTTGCAAGGCATTTGAGCAGCTCTGGGATAGCCACTATATGCAAAAAGTATCTCTCTGACATAGTTTTCTGAAATGTCAAGATTAGAGATGACAACGTTTGGGTGACTATATTTTCAGCAATGTCTTTTTCTTTTCCAGCTCTCCCTTCTGGCCTTCTTTGAAAATTAAAGTAATTCCAACAGGAGAAATTAATTAAATTGCTATTACTTTAGCATTAATTTTATTATCTATAAAAAGGCAGGGCTGAACAGGATATTAGTGATAACTAACCTTTTTAAAACCCTTTTGAATGTATTATCTCATCTTGCTTTTGATAAAACATACAACGTAGTCCTTATCATCTTTTCCACATGCAGAAACTGAGGTCTAGTGACTTGCCCAAGACCACGCAGATACTACTCAGGAAAGCCATTTAGTCATTCATTCAGCAAATGTGTGTTGATTGTCCACTGTATGCCAGGCACTGTTCCAGGTGCTGGAATAAAACAGACCAGGTTTATGTTCTCAGGAAGTTAACATCTGGTCACGTATCCAAGAAGACATGAATCAAGGTCACCTGGCCAAAAAGGAGGTCAAGTCCAGGCATTGTGTAAGTGGCTGCAATCATATAGGTCAGGGATTGGGAAACTCTTCCCATAAGGGGCCAAATAGTAATCATTTTAGGCTCTATGGACTGTATGGTCCCACTCTCAACTACTGAACTCTGCCATTGTAAAGTGCCAACATTGCAGGGTGTTGTATCAAAACCCCTCAACAGTTTCATGGCCCCTTTCCAGCCTCAGTCTTCTTGGCTCCACCTCCCTGATTAATTTAGGGGAGGATGCTGGGAACCTAGGAGAGAGCATGGTGCTGAAAGTAGGTAGAAAAAAAGAATCTAAGAAAAAACGACATGGAGGGAGAAAAATAAATAAGTAAAGCCACAACCACTTCATTAATCTTATCATTGTCTTGGCTTCTGGCTGGCCTTGCCTCCTGGTGACATTTTATTTCCTTTTCTTACCCCTACTGCAGCAGCAGTATTGGCGTGTTCTTCTGTGGACCTAAAGCTCTCTCGAGGACACTTCAAAAGATGTGCCACTTGTATTCATCAGCTGACCCCAGAGGTGTTCATTTCTATTACAACAAGGAGAGCTTCTAGACTTTGGAGGTCAAGTCCAGGCATTGTGTAAGTGGCTGCAATCATACAGGTCAGGGATTGGGAAACTCTTCCCATAAGGGGCCAAACAGTAATCATTTTAGGCTCTATGCACTGTATGGTCCGACTCTCAACTACTGAACTCTGCCATTGTAAAGTGCCAACATTGCCACAAACAATAACGTCAATGAATGGGCATAGTTGTGTTCCAATAATATTTTACTGATGGACGCTGAAGTCACATTTCATATAATTTTCTTATAACATGAAATTTTTAAACATTGTAAAAGTCACTTTTCGCACATCGACCATCCACACACTCAGGGGGCGAGCTGGATTTGGCCTGTGGGCTGGAGCTTGCTGACCCCTGGCATAGGCTGTCTTTCCCAAACTTGTTTCCATTCCCTACATTACATCCAACACGGAGACTCACGCTGCTTCTTGGCTTGAAGTCTCCTTTAGAAATCATTTCAAATTTTCATTTCCCTGATGGCAGAGACACCCACCTTATATCCAAACCTGATCTTTTCTGCTTTAAACTTAAGCTCCTTTTGTGCTTTTGTTCATCCTCTGTAGACCGGAGAAATCACCAATGGAGGTTATCTTTCACAAAAATCCTTTAGATACTTGAAAATGATAATCAAATCATCCCTTTCCTATCCCTTTTCTGGTCCAAACAATACTAAATTTTTAACCTTTTGGCCTAGGATATATATTCAAGCCCTTCCATCATCTTGTTACTCTTTTTCAAATTCAATTCCATCTCTTCACATCCTTTTAAAATGCATTGAGAAGCGTGACTAGTATTGAGCAAAAGAGGGACTTTCTTAGAGCTTATATGCCATATATTTACAAATAAATTTTATGTTTTCTTTTCTTCCTTCTTTCTGCCTTCCTTCCTTTCTGTCTTCCTTTCATATTTCTTTCTCAATCTCTTTTAACAAATGCTTGTTATTCTACCACATTTTGGTCTGTGGTCTTCTTAACACTTATACTCCTACTCAACTTCTGCCCCACAAAATAACTGAGATTTTTTTTAATTCCCATTGCGCCAGTCTTTCTATACTATGCAGCTATTTTACTCCCAAGATGTTTACAAAGTAGTCCTCACATCTTATAATTCTTGCTACTAATATTGATTAATTTTTTAGAATTTTTCTAATATTTCAAGATTGTTTTGAAGTTTAGCCCCAGACACTACTACTGGTATGTAGCTTGTAATATCTACATATTTCACTGATAATATCTCAAATCTTTTGTTTAGGTTTTCAATCAAGTTATTGATTCCAAAGAACTCCACCAGGAATTCCTGTGACGGCCTGTTGATATGAGCTCCCAGTTGGGAACTGGTGAATAATAATTAACTATTGTGAACAGTACACTATACCATACTTCCTTAGCTTATAAATAACATGTCATATACAACAGAACAAAAACATTTACTGAAATTAAAATATATTATGTTTCTCAAAGGCTTCTTAACTTTGTGGACTGTCATTCTGCCATAAAAGAGAATTAAATTGATCTGACATGATATGTTTTGACAAAGGCAGCCTCTTAAGCTCTCTAAGTATTTCTAAATTATAAATTGATCACTTCTTTTTCTTTATCCTCAGATTTTTATGTTGACCTGATGATTTCTATGATGATATTGATTTTATAAGTTAGGAATATTCCATTCATGTCTAAAAAAATTATTTCTACTATCTCTGCATTAGAATTTCTCAGTAACTTGAGGTATTGCTTGATGCATATAACTCAAACTCTACTAATTTGAATAGAACCAGTCTTTCTGTGTAATCATTTCCCCATTTAAGTTTAATTCAGGCTTTGCAACCAGAAATTTCTATAGTTAAATCTAATCTTTACTTTAGCAGGATATTAAATATATTAAAATTTTTTCTCTTGGTCATGTTTAATTATTACTTTTCTTTCTCTGTCTACTTGAAAATAAAAGTACTTTTTGATCATCTAATTTTGTCTAGTAAATTAGAATATACTTGCCCTTAAACACAGATTTTGCCACTTTTTTTAAGCTCCGGGGATGCTGTTTGCACCCCCTTTTGTGTTTTGACCTTTATGCTACTTCCCTGCATACTATGTAGAATCAAACCTATCCAGACACAAAAAAATACAGAAGTCAATAGGTTTCTTTAATGCAGCAATGACCAAATAGAAAATGTGGAATTTAAAAAATGAAATAGTTCTTCAAAACAGAAACAAAAATCTGGCAAACCTGTAAGTTCATTTAACAAGAATTATGCAACACGATTTGATAAATAAACATGCAATTCATAGGCAGACATTATTAAATGGATAGAAATAGCACGTTTCTAAATAGAAATATTAAACATACTAAAGTTACAAATTTGTCCCTAATTAATTAACAGTCAAGTGAAATTCCAGTCAAATTTTAAATTCTCTGTAGATTTTTTGGAAGGGTAAATATCCTAAAGTTTATCTAGAATAATATCTGAGAAAGAGAGATGCCAAAAAAAATGTGGAAAAGAAAAGAAGAAGAGAAGAGAGGAGAGAAAGAAGAGAAAACAAAAAGAACAGAAAGGAAAAGAAAGGAAGCAAGGCGGTGGGGAGTGGGGAGGGGGAGGAAGGAAAATTTCAAATCCAGAAGCATCATTGTTAAATAAAAGAACTTAAAGCAACCAGAGAGGAAAAGGTCAATTACCTGCAAATAAACAGAAGTATATCTGGCAGCTGCCTTCTCAAAAGCATCCACAGAAACCAGATGATAATGAAATAATATCTTCGAAGTGCTGGGGAACCATAAGTATCCATTGAGAATTTTGTCCGTAGTGAAATTATTATTCAAAGGTGAAGGCAAAATACAGATATCTCCAAACAAAAGAAAACAGAAATGTAACTACTTCACCAAAATAATTACAAAAGGATATATTTAAGGAAGGAGGAAAGACAATTAGTGGAATGCAATATGCAATGATGAGCAAAGACATTGAAAAACATTTTGGCAAAATCTCTAATCACTGACTGTAAAAGAAAATTAATGAGTATTTCAGAGGGAATGTTCTTTTAAAAACAAAACTACTTTGTAGGGACATGGACGAAGCTGGAAACCATCATTCTCAGCAAGCTATCGCAAGGATAAAAAACCAAACACCGCATGTTCTCACTCATAGGTGGGAATTGAACAGTGAGAACACTTGGACACAGGAAGGGGAACAACACACACCGGGGCCTGTTGTGGGGTGGAGGGAAGGGGGAGGGATAGCATTAGAAGATATACCTAATGTAAATGACTAGTTAATGGGTGCAGCACACCAACATGGCACATGTATACATATGTACCAAACCTGCACGTTGTGCACATGTACCCTAAAACTTAAAGTATAATAAAAATAAATAAATAAATGAATAAATAAATAAATACAAAAAAATAAAAATAAAACAAAACTAAGGATACGGACAACAATATGAAAGATGGGGAGATGACACTGGAATTAAGTCATTCCAAGATCCATGCATTGTTCAGGAGGGTGAAAGCAATGTTGATTAAATGTAGGCTTTATTAAGCTTTATACGTAAACTAGGAGGGGTAACCTCACATGGATTCAATGCCCACCGCTATTCCTTTCAACATAACTTCTCTATTCTTGAGTTTCTATTGAGCCTAAGCTACTAGTTTGTTTGACTGTCAAGCAATATGTTTTAAGAAGCGCTAACAACTGTTATATTTCCTGATTTAATTCATACTGATATTTGGCTGAATTTAGTGTTCTTAGACCATATTTTCTTCCTTTTATTAGTTTGAAGATAGGACTCTAGCATTTTCTGTCATTGAATATTGCTGTGGTGAAGTAAGAGGCCAAATTCATCCTCTCCCCTTTGTAAGTAAGTTACTTTTTTTGCCTGGATGCCTAAATAATTTTATCTTTGAACTTTGTAGCAATTTGATATTGATATTTCACATGAATTTTTCCTGTATTGCAGTGGTTTTTTTGTTTTTGTTTTTGTTTTTTTGAGATGCTCTGTCAACCAGGCTGGGGTGCAGTGGCGTGATCTCGGCTCACTGTAACCTCCGCCCTCCAGGTGCAAGCAATTCTCCTGCCTCAGCCTCCCGAATAGCTGGGACTACAGGTGCACGCCACCATGTCCAGCTAATTTTTTGTATTTTTAGTAGAGACGGGGTTTCACCACGTTAGCCAGGATGGTCTCAATCTCCTGACCTCGTGATCCACCCACCTTGGCCTCACAAAGTGCTGGGATTATGTGCCCGGCCCAGTGTGTTTTTTGAACACTTTTTTCTTCACTTCAGAAATTTTTTTATTAGGTCTTTAAATATACTTCTATTGCTTTTGTTTGCCTCATTTCAAAAGCATCAATTATCCTTCTACTGGATCTTTTTTTTCTTTTTTCCATTCTTTTAGTATTTCTAATTAATTTAATCTCTTTGTTTCTTTTATTTACATATCATTTCCCCTATTTTATCACTGGCCTACCATCTCTTTCTGAAACCTTTGAAGCCAGATATGTTTTGGAATTCGAAATAATTTCATATTTTAGAAAATAACAAATGCATATCCCATATATTGTATGATACTCTCAGTAGAGTCTGGGAAGCACCCAGTATTCAAAAGCATTAATGTTTTATTTTTTCAAACAAAACTATAAATGTAGATATTCAACTTGCATAAAGAAAGATTATAAATAGCCTCACATCTGTTCAGGACACATTATGACATTATGCTGCCAAGTGGGGTTACAAACAAAAAAGTACTCTCACTTTTCATAATTTTTTATATTTTTTTGAATTTCAGATTAGGGAGAGATTATAGTCCTGAAACCAGCTTTCAGTGATATTTATTCTGTTCCTTACTGTTTAAAAAAATATTTAATTTGTTCCACAAAGATGTTGCTTTGAGCCTTGATTTGTTACCTTAGAATGCAATATCCCTTGTGATCTCATTCTTTTTTATAGTTTTGTCTTTTATCTCTCTTATTAAATTAATATTCTCATTATGTTCTCCATACATAAACAAACAGTGAAGAATTACCTGAGTTATGATTTCTACCAGATTGAGTTGCTTTTTCTTCTACTACATGGTATTTTCCCTTTTTGCCTGTAGTATCTCCACACTTGCTATATACATCACGTATTTTTTTTCACCTTCTCATGTTAGTTGACTCTGCCTAGATATGTTATTGGTTCTTCTATATTGTGATAAATTTGTGGTTGTTTCCCTCCACCCCACCATCTCCAAGACCATGTTTCTCCCCTCCCCCATAGCTTTATTGAGATATAATACACATACCATAAAATTAACCCACTTCAAATGCATCATTTCATCATTTTTAGTATATTTATAGAGTTGTGTAACCATTCCCACAGTAAATTTTAGAACATTTTTATTTATGCATAATAGATGTACATAGTTCCAGGGTACATGTGGTAATTTAATACATACATATAATTTGCAAAGATCAAATAAGTGTGTTTGGGATATCCATCATCTTAAATACTTGTCTTTTCCTTTTGATAGAACCATTCAGATTCTACTCCTCTATTTCAAAGTGTACAATACATTATTGTAAACTATAGTTACCCTACTGATCTGTCTAACATTAGGTCTTGTTTAGTCTATCAAACCATATATTTGTACCCATTAATCAACTTCTCTTCATTCCCCCTCCCCGCTACCCTTCCCCAGCCTCTGGTAGCCACCAATCTACTCTCTACTTTCATTAGACCCACTTTTGTACCTCCCCCATATGAGTGAGAACATGTGGCTTATTTCACTTACCATAATGACCTCCGGTTCCACTGATGTTGCTGCAAATGACAGGATTTCATTCATTTTTATGGTAAGATTCCATTGTGTATATGTACCACATTTTCTTTATCCAATCATCTGTTGATGAACACTTGGGTTGATTTCATAATTTCACTGTTGTGAAGAACATTTTTTTTTTGAGATGGAGTCTCACTCTGTTGCTCTGTCGCCCAGGCTGGAGTGCAGTGGTGCGATCTCGGCTCACTGCAACCTCTGCCTCCCAGGTTCAGGCGATTCTCCTGCCTCAGCCACCCGAGTAGCTGGGACTATAGGCAAATGCCACCATGCCTGGCTAATTTTTTGTATTTTAGTGGAGACGGGGTTTCCCCATGTTGCCCAAGCTGGTCTCAAATTCCTGAGCTCAGGCAGTCCACCTGCCTCAGCCTCCCAAAGTGCTGGGATTATAGGCATGAGCCGTGAAGAACATTTTTATCATTCCAAAAAGAAAGTCCATATCCATTAGCAGTCAGTCTTCATTTCTCCTCAACTGCTGCCCGCCCTAGGCAACCACTAGCCTTCTTTCTGTCTCTATGGATTTAACTATTCTGGACATTTTTATGTAAATGAAAACATACAATAAGTGGTCTTTTGTGTTTGGCTTCTTCCACCTAGCATAATGTTTTCAATAATCATCCATGTTATAGCAAGTATTAGTACTTCATTATTTTTGCCAAACTAATATATTTCATTGTATGGTTATGCTGCACTGTATTAATTCATTCATCAATTGATGAACATTGAGTTGTTTCCACTTTGGGGCCATTATGAATAATGCTTTTATAAACACTCATGTACAGGTTTTTGTGAACCATGTTTTCTCTTCTAAAGCCAGGAATTTCAGTTTTTATCCGCTTTTTTGTAGTCTGAGAGAACAGCAGCTGGCATGGAGTGTTGTGCAGAAGAGCACAGAAGCTCAGCCTGAGTGGTGTGGAGATACGTTCAATTTTTCGGTTCCTTTCTATCTTCTGAGATGACATGGACTGTCCTGTATCTGAGTTCATTCCAACTAATGGAGTAGAGGAGAGAGGATATAATGTATTTCCACAATGAGATATTCCCAAGCTTTGAACCCTTTCCCCAACTGAGTGTGAATTTTGGATTCTTCTCTTTCAACAGAGAAAGTTGGCTCTCTTGATTTTTTTTTCTTTATTCATCCATTTAATTCATACTTTCCCAACATTATATCTTCTCTTTACATTCCACAAGCAAGAGTTTTAATGAAATTTCTTGGGACTTTTTGACCACCTGTGGGGCTTCAGAGAAGTAAATGAGGTAGAAGCCAAACCATGTAGCTGCTCTCCATTCTCTTCCAGAATCCTCTGTTCCTTCTCTTGAGCACAAGTTTTTGAATGTATTAGATTACATTTTTCCTTTATCTTGTCTATTGGTGGATGTGTGTGTGTGTGTGTGTGCACGTGTGTAGAGCAATAACTGTCCAGAGTTGAATGTCCACAACATTCTCTCTTACTACACTCAACTGGATTATCTCTACAACTATAACTATTTTCAAGGCTCACCATAACCTCCGTGGTGTGAAATTCAACTTCGTTTTATTTTTGGCAGCAACTGAAATGGATGACCAATTTTTCTGTCTTGAAACACTTCCTTCTTTTGACTTCTGTCAAAACAATCTCTTTGTTTTTGTCTCAGACTCCTCTATCCAATTTCACAATGTTGGCATGTCTTTGAATTGGTCATAGTCCCTCTGCTCTTTTTCTGTCTATTCTCCTCCCTTGACTAATATTATACAATCCTGTGGCTTCAAACACCATCCGTTTGCTGATGAGGCCCAAAATTTAAACTCTAGTGTAGACTTCTCCCCTGGATTCCAGTCTGATATATCCAACTGCCTACTCCATCATTAGAAATATAATAAGCATCTCAAATGTAACATATCCAAAACCAAATTCTTTATTTTTTCTCTTCATAATGCTGTTCTTCCTCCAGCTTTTCTTATTTTAGTGAATGGCACCATCATCTACCAAAATGCCTAAGCTAAAATCACTAAAAACCTCTGAATCATCTTTGGTTCCTCTTTCCTTCATCACTCACTCCAAACCCTATCCCAAAACCACTGTTTTATAATCTTACTTGTTTCATCTTTTCCTATAAACCTTTCAGAAAAGTATAAATTGTACTTTTGTGGCCTCCAATATGTACAATGCAAATTTCCAAGTTAATACTATTGCTTAAGCCTAATCCCACTTTATGCAAACTATACAAACTTACAGGCAAAGATCCTGCATGCTACTGTCAAGAATAAAGCCCTGCTCACCATGCTTCATCAACCAGTCATTCCCTGGTTGGTAAATGAAGTGGAACATGTTTCTATCAACATAAGTGACCTCATTACCAAATGATTTAAAGTGTCTTCTTATACATCTACTAGCTATTGTCATGTTGGGATTTTTTTCTCTTCTCTTTTTTTCTTCAATTTTTAAATTGTTTTTCCTATTAATTTTTATAAGAATATCTGCAGCCCTCTAAGTTACTTTCTCCCAGGATCGTCTCAGATGCTGAAAAGAAGAAAAACTGTTTTAAGAATCCTTTATCAATTCCAAACACCTTCAAATTATTATAAAAATTCCTTAAAAATATAAATAAATAAGTAATTAAAAATAAAAATTCCTGATTGGTCTTAAAGACAACAGCTCAATCATGACCCAATCTCCATTTGGTGATTCAATTAAGTAATCCCCTAAGGAAAGGAACATCATCATGACATATTCGTATCATAATCTTGTGCCATACTCTTCAAATCTCCAATCAACTTACCTCAAAAGTCAAACTTACTTTTTAAAAATGTTTGGAAGTATAAGAACAGCATCAAACAGTACAAGGTGCCAATAAATAATTCTAACAAAATATTTGAAACTTTTACCAAAAAAAGAAACTCTATTAATCAACCATATCTGCCCTGTGCTAACATGAAATATGACAGAAGTATTAGTCCTTCACCTTCACCCCAATTCCCACACCCTGCCTCCAACCCCAATCCGAGAGTGTAAGGGGGAGACCTGTCAATCATTCCTGCCCTGCACTTAGTAAGTATCTAGCAGAGGCTAGAGAGTGTGTGTTGGGGATGGGGGAATCACAGACAGAAGGGAGCTGAAGGAAAGAGTTCTTAAATCTGTGCATGAAATCTTGGATGGTTTCCCAAGAGGCCAGTGTGTGAAACCAACCAGAATCAACACAGCCAGTGAGTTGAGAATTGAACCCTGGTGAGGAATACTGCCCAGGTTTTAGATTGGCTTCTGGATTACACATAAGTGGGGCATACCAAAATAGCATGGCAACGCCTTTGAAAACTAAGTTGATATTTGAACCACAAACCACCAAAGTGGGCCAGGATGTGTGTTTCTGAACCTAAACCTGCTAACTGCCAACTAAAATAGAAGATCTAAATAAGAACCAGAGTGTCATAACATTATCCTCAAAATGTACAGGATACAATCCAAAATTTTTGTCATACGAAGAACTAGGAAAACTCAACCCAAATGAGAAAAATCAACAGATGCCAACACCAAGATGACACAAATGTTGGAATTATCTAACAAGAAATTTTAAAGCAGCTATCATAAAAACATTCCAACATGCAATTAAAATCACTCGTGAAACAAATGAAAAAATAGTCTTAGCAAGGAAATAAAAGATATAAAAAGAACCAAATGCAAGTTTTGAAATTTAAAAATATACTAACTGAAAGAAAAAACTCACTAGATAGGCTTCTGGTAGGTAGACTAATCCCTCTCCTCCAACCAAAATGCCCACATCCTAATCCCTAGAACCTGTGACATGTGAGATTATATGGCAAAGGAGAATTAAGGTTTCAGATGAAATTATGGCTGCTTTGAGATGGTTGCATTGAAATGGAAAGATTATCCTAGATTATCTGTCTGGGCTCAATGTTATCACCAGGATCTTAAAAAATGAAAGAGAGAGGCAGAAGAGTCCGACAGAGTCAGAGGAGATGTGATAACAGAAGCAAAGTTTGGAGTGATAGTTTCAATGGCTTTGAAGGTAAAAGATGCTGTAAGCCAAGGAACATGGGCAGCCCCTAGAAGCTGGGAAGGGCAAGGGAATGCATCCTGCCCTAGAGGCTCCCAAAAGGCCTGCGGTCCTGCAAACATTTTTATTTTAGTCTAGTAAGATTCATGTTGGAGACTGACCTAAAATAAATAGATATAATGTAATAAATTTGTATTGTTTCAAGCTGACACATTTTTGGTAATTTGTTAAGCAGCAACAGATAACTAATACATATCAAAAGGTCCAATGCCATATATATGTCAGTTCTCTTCAAAATGATCTATAAATTCAAAGTGATTTCAACAAAATCAAAACGAGGCTTTCCATGAAACTTGACAGGCTAATTTTTTCAATGTCTATATAGAAGAATCAAGAGGTAAGAATAACCCAACAGAACTAACAAAAAGGAGCCATTAAACTTTTTCCATAAAGGGGCAGATCATAAATATTTTAGGTTGTTCTGGCCACATATGGCCTCTGCCATGTCTACTTCTTTGATTTTCTTTATCATTTAATTCTTTAAAAATGTAAACCATTCTTAGCTCGAGGGGTGTATAAAATCAAACAATCAGCTGGATTTGGCCCACGTGCCGGTCTACTGATCCCAGAATTTAGAATCATATTGAGAAAAAGAAAAAATTGTAGAAGAATACACGTTGAGTGGAACCACTAAACAAGATTGCAAATCCTACAAAACAGTATTCCTTATACACAAACATACACACATATAACCACATGCATATTATAGGTTTAAAGAATTGTACAGAAAATAAATTATAAGCCCCAGATTCAGAACACTGTTTCTGATGAGAGGGAAGAGAGAATGGGAACAGATAGAATAAAAGAGGGCTTCAATAGTCTCAGTAATATTTATTTCTCAAATTGCTTTTTAAATTTTTATTACATAAGCTGTAATTCTGTATACACCTGATATATCTCATAATAACTAAAATATTCTTGGTAGATTTTTGCTCTGTTAGGCAAGGGATGATTGCCCAAATTATTGGGACATGGGTTTTCTTCAGTAGATGGTGTTTCCCAAGCTCATCCTTGCTGAGGCTCTGTACTCCTGTTTTACAAATTAAAGGTGAAAGTTTGGACATTTGGTTTTCAAGAACCAAGGAGAGCATGTCCAATTCATCATTTTATCTGTGACAAGGAAAGCCTGGCTATTCTCTCAACAACAGATGTCTAGAAACTTCCCAGAAACCTGTAGTGAAAGAGACCTGGGCTCTCTTAGCCTCTCCCACAGCACACACACACACTTGTCTCAATCGTTTGAGGATTCAGATTTTTAGGACTTTGCACCAAGATACTCCAATCCACTAAAATGTCCATCGAGTGCCAGTTGTCTTTGCCACAGTCCCACTGTCTTGAGTTCCTGGAACCTACACTCCACTTCTCCTCATTTATTTCCTTCCAACTTGAGAGTGAAGGTCAGAGGATGACAGAAACGCAGTCAGAAAACACGAGAAGCAGTCTGCCACAAACCTCCCAAACTACAGCAGTATGGGGCAGGGAGGCAGGCCCAGTCTGGGGTGCAAAAGCAGCCGGGCATGCAGCGAGAGTGTAGTGCCCAAGGAAGAGTCATGGGCCAAGCCACAGTGGACACTAAGACTTCCTGGAGGAGCTAGGCCCTTCCCAGGAAAGGGAAGGGCAGGATAGTGGATACCCCATGCGGACAGCACGTTGGACTGAAGATGGCTAGTGTCATTATCAGGAAGATGAAACACAGGAGACAGGGCGCCAGTCACAGGCCTGGGTGTCGGGACTAGAGATTCCTAAACTCACAGGAGAACAAGGTAGTCATAACCAAAGCAGGGCTCAGTTCTCAGAAGCAGGAGCCCAGGGACATCACCCAGGTCATCAAAGGTGACCCAGGATCTGGGGAAGATCACAAGAGGAGAAAGGAGAAGGCAGCCATGGCCCCTCTTCTGCCCACACTTGTCTGTTTCCTCATGCTTCTCCCTCCCGTCCCCAACCCAGGCATTAATTATTTGTACTACCATCTGCAGCACATTTTTCAGATTCACTGTTGGTACAAAGAAAGAATCACAAAATAAAGTTATGTTATTGTATTTGTAAAATGGTGCATCTTTGTTTTAAAATTGCTTAAGTTTTTGAAACGTCTACCCATCCAGCATGATTAATGCGATACATACAGTGGAGCAGCAGAGTGAGTGGAGAATTAGAGTCGGTGCCAGTTCACCTAGAGGCATTTATCTTTTCTTTTCTCCCTGGTGCCTGCGCTGAGCCTGAGGGTACGCTGACACTTTTTTTTTTTTTTTAATAAATTAAGCTTCATTTTCTGTTTTGCGTGTGTGCTAAGAACCTTGAAGGGAATGAGCAATGTCTGCAGCCTCCAATACCAGCTGCCATGGCAGGAAAGAAAGAGGTGACAATTTCCCGCAGATTCAGAATGATTGTTTTAATGGGGCTGTGGCGGAGGCAACGAGCGCAAAGATATTGTACTGCCAGGAAAAAGCAGGCTCTCTCTTCCCCAGCCTCGCACTACATGATGTAACATTTAGCTTCTGGGTTAACGTGGCATCTCTTCCCTGCATTGATTTATTCCCACTTTTGCAAATCACAGAGGTATGTTACAGGAGATGCATTTACAGCCGTTGTTATAGTTCATTGAGGAGCAAGGCTGTTATCCGCACCAGAGGACAATCTCATGCGTATCAGGGTGAGTGACCTAGAATAAAAGGAAAGAATTTTTTTGAAAAAAAGAGAGAGAGAGCAGGAATATAGATGTTATGCTAGGACGCAATTGTATTTACCTTGATTGAAAACTCTTTTATTATGACCATAATTTAGATCAGAATGGAAAAGAGAACTATTGGGCTCCCTGCCTGGCTGCGAGTGTTGCTGAGCACACAGCCGCTACAATAATGTAAGTGCATATGTAATGACTGTGTTATTGTGTTTATATACGAAAGCATTATGCTCCATCAAAGGAAATGAAAAATATCTTCATGGGTTTGCTCAGTCAGCTTCTTTAGCAGAAAATGCTTGGAGGTGTAGAATAGTAACGGGTGACCAAAATACAGAGTAATAAAAGAACTATGCAGGCTTAATCTTATGTGGAAGTCAAATACCATCTGAAACAGTAAAATGCTGACCAGACTCTGGCATCCTCAGAATAGTTAATGTGGGGCCTTTATTGTGATTCTGTCATAAGTGTTCCTTGAGCACAAATTATGCCCACAGTATTGTGTTGAGTAAAATGTATAAAACAACAGGGCTGTCTGCAAGGAGCTTACAGTCCAAACTGGACAGACAAAACAAATACACATAGAGAGATCATTAGAAATACAAAGGGGAAATTTCAAATGAGTTGATGTAATTAATCAAATTCTAATGAGAATACTCTGAAAATTTAGTCACTCTCTCTAGAATGTGTGTGTTTGTGTGTTTACAAATACATTATATATATACATATATATGTGTGTGTGTGTGTGCTTCTAAGAGACAGGTCTCACTCTGTCACTCAGGCTGCAGTACAGTGGCAGGATCACAGCCTACTGCAGCCTCCAACTCCTGGGCTCAAGCAGTCCTCCTGTGTCTGCCTCCCAAAGCTCTGGGATTACAGGCGTGAGCACCCAGCCTATACACACACACTTAGATATAAGCATTTTTATTTTTATACATGTTTTTACATTTCTAACATGCTTAATTAAGAAGTTCCTGTTTCCGGCTGGGGCGCGGTGGCTCACACCTGTAATCCCAGCATTTTGGGAGGCCGAGGCGGGCGGATGACGAAGTCAGGAGATCAAGACCATCCTGGCTAACACGGTGAAACCCCGTCTCTACTAAAAATACAAAAATTAGCCAGGTATGGTGGCGGGCACCTGTAGTCCCAGCTACTCAGGAGGCTGAGGCAGGAGAATGGCGTGAACCCGGGAGGCAGAGCTTTCAGTGAGCCGAGATCGCGCCACTGCACTCCAGCCTGGGCAAGAGAGCGAGACTCTGTCTCAAAAAAAAAAGAAGAAGAAGTTCCTGTTTCCTTGTTTCTAAGACTTTCTGTATGTCAAAGCTACCCTAAGAACCAAGAACCAAGACAGAGCAAAAGTATTTGTTTTGTGTTCTACTCATAGCCCATGTATGTGAGCCTGCAGGCATTTTTGCTGTCAGTTCAAGTTGTTACGGACTTTCCACCACACAGTGCAGACCAGTGCTGAACACTAACTGAGGAGGAAAGAGCTCAAAGATTGACTCCTTGGCTCATGGTCACGTGATAAATATAATCAATTTTCCCTAAGTAGTCTTGAATAGGGGTAGTTGTATATATTTATCTTCCCACATAAACATTGTTTCTAAAAGACAAAAACCGAGCCTGCCTTCAGAGGGTTTACAATCATGCAGGGAAATAACACTAGGCATACAAAAAAAAAAAAACCAAGAACAAACGATCCAAGGCAGTATATATATGATTAAGAGAAAAAAGAATGTGCACAGTGGGTGTGTTGACATCTGGTTTTTCTGACCCACCTGACACTTTGCAAGTCTTTCACCAGCAGCAGCTACTCACTCCCACATCTGCCTCACTAGGGTAGGAATGTGGCTACTAACCCGCTTGGTTTTGTGTAACCATATTTTTTTGCAGGCCAAAATAGCCTAAGAGTGAAAATGTAAACAGAGAACATTTTTATTTATAATACCAGTTTACCAAAAAAAAAAAAAATCTGACTCTGTTCTCATAAATTTATAGCTAATGATTCTGAGAATACCCAGAACAGTTCTCTGTCATTATCCTCTTTTCTTGTACCGGCTCACGGTGGTGAAATGTATCACTCATCAAAGGTCAGCCATGGTTCTGACATGGATTAAAGACACTGCTAACAGGAGTCAGGAGAAGAAAGTGCCTAAGAATCTGGGGTCAGATGCTGCAGTCCTAATCCCAGTCAAATGTGCATGATAGCCACAGCACTGAGGCTTGGATGATCTAATGCCACAGTGGGAGGTCAGGCTGTCACCACCTTAAGATCATGATCAATGTCAGTGTCATTAATGGTGAGACAACCAGAAAGTAGATACTTCTCCCAGCGTGATGCTACTTAACACATACAGCAACGCATATGAAGGATTCTTGCTAAAATGTTTTACTTGAATCTAATTGAGACTTTAAATACAAGAGATAGAGGAATGGGTTAAATGACACCACAAGGAAACAATGAGACAAATACAGAAGGAGGAACGTTACAAAGGACAACAGTTCTGGTCCCTTCAAAAGCCAATGTGATGATTCATTCTTTGAAAAAAAAAAAGGCTATATTGTACTATTTTAAAAAGAAAGGAAGGAGGACTTTTCTATATTAAAAGATAGTTAAGAGACATCATAATCAAATGCGACATTTAATTTGATTCTGGTTAAAGCAAATGAGCTATAAAAGACATTCGTGGTGGGGAATTGGGAAGATTTGAATATAGCTGAATATTAGATGATATTGGAGAGCTGTTGCTAATTTTGACAAGGGTGATAATGATGGTATGATTATGTAGTAAGTGTCCTTATTTTTCAGAGGTGTATATTGAAATATTTAGGAGTGAACTGTCATCGTATCTGTTACTTAGTTTAAAATACTTCCACCAAAAACCTACTCAAATACAGCAAAACGTATATAATTATTGGATGTGGATGATGAATCCGTGGGTAATTCTTATTCAGACACTTTACTTTTCAATATGCAAATTTTCATAATAAGAACATTTAAAGGGATGATTTAATGCATGTGAATTGTTTAACAGAATTCCTGGCACACAATAAATGCTTATTAATATTGGCTTTTATCATTATTGTTGTTTTTGTTATTTCCAAGCTGTCAGTGCTGCTGCTGATGCCTGCTGACGTTACCATGAAGGCTGCTGCCACCCAAAGGTGAGAGCATAGATGTAGATTCGGAGCATCATCTCCAGTTCCTGCCTAAGCTGCAAAAGCCAGTGCTGGTGAGGCCTTGTGCTCTCAATAACCCAGCATTTCTCTTCTTCCTCTTTTAGCTTTTCATCACTCTAAATGTAGTCTGTTCCACAGAAACTGGACAGAATGATAGCACTGGGCTCCACTCAGGAACACATCTCCTAAGATATTGACGAGCAAGCTGTGCCGCAGTGGGGTGAGGGTTGGAAGAGGGAAGGCTCCAGAGCCCGGGCTTCATTCTCTCACGCGAAGAAACAACAGGGAGAGGACACTCTTGGAAACTCTCCAGCTCCCTCACTCTTCTCTAAGAAAGAGAGTTGCTTTATCTCGTTGACAAATTTGGAAGCAAATACTGGGCATGAGCAGCTCAGCTCCTGCCCATACAGGACTCAAGCTCTGGTGTATTCTCCACATGCCAAAGCTCAATGGCACACTCTGTCCCTGCAGCGGGAGCCTATGGCATTGCCTGTGATTGGGGGTGAGGTTATCTATTCTGAGATTCAAGATGGAAGCCTCCATTGCCCCTCCTAAGCCATGCTTTCCAGCACTGTAATAAAACTGGATTTTTTTCCCTCTATCTCCTTTATTCCACCTTATCACTTGGGTTAGCATTCAGATGGGGGGAAAGAGGCTATCATGTGTCAACCTTCTCAAACCCCAACATTCTGGACCAAACACGTGAGCCTCTAATTTTTCTACTGAGATAAATTCTTTTCCAGGTCCTTCATATAAATAGATACACATTCTGCTTTGTGAGTCCTGTAGAAATGCCCAAATATGCCTGCATTTTAGAAAAACCAGTTGACTTGCGATTTCTGTTCTGTGTGTGTGTTGTTGTTGTTTTCGTAGAGATGGAGTCTCGCCGTGTTGCCCAGTTTGGTCTTGAAGTCCTGGGCTTAAGCAATTCTCCCACCTTGGCCTCCTAAAGTGCTGGGATTATGGGCATGAGCCACCATACCTGGCCTGTTCTCTGTGTTTTTAAAAAGCTTAATAAACTAGCTATCTACATATCAAACTCTTAGAACTGGGCAAATGGGTTGTATATCCATCTTATAGTTAGGAAATGTTGAAGTTGAACATTCTGAGTGAAGCTGAGTGAAGTATGAAATTGCCACCATCTCTCCAGCTATTCTAATTTTTCAAATTAAAAAGAGGAAAAGAACAAAGCTCTACGTGCTGCAAGTGTGGAATTAGTAATCAATTTTTGCTATGGCTTGGGGGAATACTAAAGTAAATCTTGGAGCTGAAATGGAAGCCCTCTCAGTAACCATCTTGACCTCTTCCTTCCCTAATAATTTCAACTATCAGCAGATATATTTCCTATGAGGGTATGTCACCAAATTAATAATGCAAATCAACAAATACCTTGGATTTTGATGAGTGCAGAAAACACCTACACATGAACCAAATAAACTAAAGACAACTATTTTTACATATTTTTACATTGTGGTAAAATACACATAACATAAAATTTACCATCTTAATAATTTTAAAAGTACAATTGAGTGCCATTAAGCACATTCACATTATTGTACAATGATCACTACCATCCAAATCCAGAACTCTTTTCATCTTACAAAATGAAATTTCATACCCATTGTACAACAACTCCTCATTCTCCCACCCCTAGACCCTTATGGGTACCACCCTTTCTGTCTTTATGAATCTGACTAATCTAGGTTCCTCATACAAATGGAATCATACAGTATTTATCTTTTGGTAACTAAAGACAATTATTTTAAGTGGCTTCTGTATATCCTCTGCATGTCACTTATATATGCCTTGCCATAGATTTATCTGCCTGATATTCCACCCAGGAATTGCACCAAAACATAAGCCAGGCTAGTTGACATTCAGAAGATCATCTTTCTACTTGATTTTTGTATCTAGAAGTCACCATGTCAACAAAAGCCACCAAGTCATAGACTATTTTCTTTGTTTGAAGTTAAATTCACAAAGTCAGAACACTCCCAAATTTGCCTTGTGCAAAGAGCCCCCTCTACACCAATTTCTGGAAGCCTCCTACATGCGGTATTACCCTAGGCTACAGGCAGCAGACACCAAGAAGAGAGGCCAAAAGCTAGACTCAGAGAGCCAAAATAAGCAGCCAGAAGTCTAGAGGGAAGGCTACCAAAAGAAAGTGAATATCAACAGGCAACATCACAGGCAAAGTAGTCAAAACTGAAGTAACGCTCACTGTGAATGTTCAATAGTGCCACTGGAGTACAACTTACCACGTGTGACATATGCTGACCCCCACCAGCAAAATGTGTCTAATATAGGAAAAACACAGTAGGAAAATACTCTGTTATCCATTTTTATTATTTAATATTGAAATGAATTACTTTAATTCTATGTCTCAATTCAGTCATCTCATTTCTACCCGCAGAGATACCAAATCCAAAATCTGAATGGTGTCTCACCATTTAATTCAATTTCTTCTACATAAAGAGCTTGCTTTACTTAAAAATTAAAAAAAAAAAGGCTTGTTCTGAGGACCCAGAGGAAAGAGAGATCTTTTGCCTTGGATAGTCATTACTCTTACAAGTCATTTTGAGAATAAAAAATCAAAATTAGTTTGAACTTTTGACCTGAAAGAACATACACTAAATATCATGAAACTATGATTAGAAATAGTTTTGAGGAACCAATGATAATGTTTTGCTCTAACTGAAACTGCTACAGGTTGAGTATCACTTATCCAAAATGCTTGGGACCAAAAGTGTTTGGATTTCAGATTTTTTTTTAATATTTGCATTTTACTTATTGGTTTAGCATCCCTAATCCAAAAATTTGAAAATCTGAATGCTCCAATGAACCTTTCCTTTGATCATCATTTCTGTTCTCAAAAATTTCAGATTTTGGAGCATTTCAGATTTTCAGATTAGGGACACTCAACCAGTATTTATAAAACTTGGTAACTAATTCTGAGACCTGGTACTTTTTTTCTCATTTTGAGCAAATTCTACCTTTCTGTGTGCCTTCAATTCTTCATATGCATAGTCAAGATGGTAATTTTCAAAGTTCTTTGAGGTCCTGACAAACAGGTATTTTCATCATCACTGAAACATATTAAAGAAATAAGCAATTAAAACTTCAGACTTACCTTAGTCCATTTTGAGCTACTATAACAAAATACCACAGATTGGATAATTTATAATAAAGAGACATTTATTGGCTCATAGTTCTGGAGGCTGGGAAGTCTGAGATCAAGGGGCTGGCCTCTGGCAAGGGCCGTCTTGCTGTGTCAGAGGCAGAAAGCAAAAGGAAAAGAGAACAAGAGCAGGATGAATTTGCCCTTCTGTAATGGCACCAATCCCACACATTCGGGTGATGTCCTCCTGGGCCTAATCACCTCTTAAACTTTCCACCTCTTAATACTGTTACAATGGCAATTAAATTTCAAAATGGGTCTTGGAGGAGACAAGCATTCAAACTATAGCAAGACTTTAATTCACATGAAAGTGTCATGGTCCTAGAAATGACATCTCCATATGCCAAATATCAGACCACTTGGGCATATCATTGCTCCTAACATACAATCTACTATATAGTCTTAGACTGTTAGAGGTAGAGTCTGGGAAGCCAACTACAGAAAATTCTTCGTTTTTCAGTAGAAGAAACTTAGGTCTAGACTGGTTTAACTTATTTGGTTAAGTCTTGTAACCAGAATAAAAATTCAAACCTCTTGAATCTGATTTCAATGCTATCTTCATTACGCCAAAGAAAAATACCTAAATAGTGAATAAAGTAATGAGTCTTAGTTTGGAATCCACCTCCTAGGAGATTCTCTGAGTCATGTCATCCTAACCAAACATCTCCAAGACAAGGGATACTACTGAACAGAAAAAAGCTGGGTCCATGAGGTTAGATAAACTGGCTCATAAATAGACTGTGTTGGCCATGATCCATGTGCATAATGGCCTGCTGTAACACCTACAGCAACCTTCATAAAACAGGCTGCTAATGTTGGGGAAAACAAATAGTTAACAATTGTAGGGGCTCAGTTTGAATCACTCCTGGGCCAAATTTAAGTTATAAGTGACTTCAGTCCAAGTTCCAAGTAAAGTAGATTCTACGAAGAATTTTAAAGATAAGCAGATTTCCAGTGTCTGAATATGTAGACGAGATAATGATATAAGGAAGAGAATTGTAGAACCAGCATATCTTTTGGGATAAGTAGAACCTATACAGAAAAAGTAGGCTGCCATCTGAGGTAAAATAGCACAAGGCTGTTAAGGTATTTTGCAAGTTTCAGAAAGTTTAAAAGTAAGGAATGGGGAGGAAAATGGATGGAAACATAATATCTGACTCATCTAAGATTCAAATACAGCAATCAAGGAGACGGTTGAGGGTATATCTGGAAAATAAAATAAGGATAACAAAATAAAGATGCCCTAATCTAAGAACTAATGGATGAAAGAGGTAGTGAAAGACCAATTCAGTATGCAAAACTGCTTCAAATAAACATTAAAGACTTACCAGACCAAATGGCCATATGGGAACACTTGGCAACAAATGAAGACTATGATATAATTAGCAGGTATGGAACCAGCTAGTCTCTTGCTGCCAAACAAAAACTCCGTATAGGAAGGATATAGTGTAGGCACACAGGAGAAGATGTGACTTTGTATTTTAAGACACTGTAAACCAGGGATGTCCAAACTTTTGGCTTCCCTGGGCCACATTGAAAGAAGAAGAATTGTCTTTGGCCACACATAAAATACACTAACACCAATGATTGATGAGCTAAAAAAAAAAAATCACAAAAATATCTCATAATGTTTTAAGAAAGTTTACGAATTTGTATTGGGCTGCATTCAAAGCCATCCTGGGCCACATGCAGACCACAGGCTGCGAGTTGGACAAACTTGTCTTCAACAAAAACAAGTTGCAAAACTGTAAAAGAAAACAAAATATGATAGAATCACCGTGGATAGAAATGCTATACTTAAATATCTAGATTAGGGGTTGGCAAACTACAGCCTACAGGTCAAATCTGGCCCCACTGCTTATTTCTCTATAATTTTCAAGTTCTCATTTTTAAATGGTTAAAACAATCAAAAGAAGAATAACACTTCATGACACATCGAAATGGTGGGAAATTCTAATTTCAGTCCATAAATAAAGTTTTATTGGAACACAGCCATGCTCATTTGTTTACATAGTGTCTATGGATCTGGCCTTTTATAGAAAAGTTTGCCAGGCCCAATCTAAATAATACAACAGAGCCTGAAATACTAGAGGGTAGTAAAGTTGCAAAATTATCACTAGTAGTCATAAATGAGGAACTTCAGTTATCTACACATTAATTTGTGGAAATGTAAAGTTAAGATTTTGATTAAGACAGCTACTTCCTATGACATGCCATTTTAAAACTTACAGGGAAAGGACCCTCTATCCAAGGCTCCATGTAATGGGTATGAGCTGGATAGAAAGTCCCTGTTGGAAACATCCATATAAGCATGATTCCAGACTGACTGAGTCTGCCTAAAAAAAAATCAATGACATGGGGCCCTAGTTTGAGAAGGAAATTATTTTTTAAAAGTGATGTTAGTAAGAAAAGTTTAAAAGGTGAGATAACAATCCAAAGAAAATTTGAAAATTATTTTAAAATCTATTTTGGAAGGCCATGAAAAATGTAAGCCACAGAGCAAAAGATGAGAATTTCAACAGTAAAAACAACAATAACAGAACTCCATAGACTTTATCAGTGAAGTTTAGGAAGAAAAGATACTGTTGAAAAATGCATCATATTAAAAATTAGTGTGCCCAAGTGGAAAAAATCATAAGGAATATCAAATATAGCAGAATATATACAAAAAAAGTTTTAAAAGCTAAAAAATAATTAGCCAACATTTCTGAGGGACCAACCTCAGTAATAAAATCTTTGTTAGAAACATGGGCAGCAGAAGTCGATGAAACCAATTGATTGATGACCATGATATGAAAAGTCCATTCAGGTCTGAAAAGGAGATAGCAGAATGAATAAGTGTATAAAGGAAGGCATTAGTGACATTCTCGCTCCTAAATTAACTTTTGAAGCAGATCAGTCACAGGTACAAAAATCAAACAGCAATAAATAAACTAGATGTTCTTGGCTGAATCAATAATGCATTTGGTCACAATTTTCTCTCCTGCAATTGAGTAATCACTGGAACTAAACGGGCTCCACCCAAGAGTTTAGAAGAAACTCAAGGGTGAAATTTTGGATCCATTGAAACTTGTGTAGACAAATCAATTTAATGGAGGACTGGCAAACTAGTAATGTGACAGGCATTCATGAGTAAAGACCAAAGAATATGGCTCCCTGTACACTTCAGTGTGACATAATCTACAGCTAGAAAGGCAAAAGAGTTTCTGAAGGGGAGGTTATACCTCCCCAATATTTCTAAGGATGCATATGAAAAAAAGAATCCAGTAGGTGTCTTTATTTAAATACTTAGTAAAACTTTGATAAAAGTCCACGAAAAATCAAGTAGATTTAATAATATGTCTTATTACAAAAGTAATATATGTTCTTTGTAAATGTGGAAAGTACAGAGATGCAAAGAGAATAAAATTAAAATAATTCATAATCCAGCTAACCAGAGATGTCCACTGCTAATGTTTTGCCATACATTATTTGGGAGCAAACGTGGAATTTCATTAACTGTTTTATCTTGGAAGATAGCTGACGATGGCTCCAAAAAACGAGAGAAGGGCAAGAAAAAATATTTTTTTTAAATTGTTCCAATTCACAAATGGATGATATGACATAACAAGAGATTATTTCCAATGAAATTCTCATATTTGCACATGACGCTGTTATTTTTAATAGTGAAATATTATGCCGTTTATGCAGAGGAAACTGAAAACTTCACAATACTGCATATGGGCGCAGAAAACTGGCAGATGAAATTCCTTATAGGCAAGCGTAACAGAATACATTCAGGGGAGTATAATGCCAATTACCTGGAAAATGATAGATTCCCATCTACAATACTATGCAGCATGCCATCATTACAAACTATACCCTAAAGGCAATATACCGATTTCACTAAAAGATCAAAACTGATGCAGAAACCAATATTCTACTCTCAAAAATAATGGTATATCCACAGCTAGAATACTCTGTGCATTTAAAGTCCTTCTACCTTAACAAGGGCCAAGATGTTTCAAAGAAATGATCAAAGAGATCAAAGAAGTGAAAACACTTGCCTATGAGAATCAGTGTTAATAATTGGCATTCTCCAGTCTATAAAATATAAATGTGATAGCTGAAA